>NC_000012.12:113823764-113975279 GCF_000001405.40 Homo sapiens | reverse complement strand
CTTTCTCCCTATTACCCCTCACCCTGAACAAAGCTGAATTCTCAGTTCCTGTGCACATTTTCACCTCTTGAAACTGTTGTCCTCACCCTGCCCATCTCATGCCAAGCAGGGAAAGTTTCCTTCTCCTTTCTCTCCCAACCCCCAACCCTCACCCAAAATCTCTCTTGCATTGCAGCTATGGTTACCCATCGACTCAATTCCTCAAGGTTTGGTCAATAAAGGGTCAGAAAACAATTCAAACCAAAGGTCTTGCCTCAGAGGGTCTGGTTGGGCACAGGGTTGGGTGCCAGGGACACCCAGTGCATAAATCAGAGCAATCTCTGCTTTCATGGATAATGCTGCTACTGGGGGAGACCAACAAACAGGCACATAAAAAGTAAGAAATGCCAGGTCATAATAACACGATGAAAAAATGGACTAGGCCAGGCTCACACCTGTAATCCCACCACTTTGGGAGGCCGAGGCGGGTGGATCACGAGGTCAAGAGATCGAGACCACCCTGGCCAAAATGGTGAAACCCCATCTCTGCTAAAAATATAAAAATTAGCCGGTGTGGTGGCATGCGCCTGTAGTCTCAGCTACTCAGGAGGCCAGGACAGGAGAATCGCTCGAACCCTGGAGGCGGAGGTTGCAGTGAGCCAAGATCGTGCCACTGAACTCCAGCCTGGCAACAGAGCTAGACACTCTGTCTCAAAAAAAAAAGAAAGAAAAGAAAGAAAGAAAGAAAGAAAGAAAGAAAGAAAGAAAGAAAGAAAGAAAGAAAGAAAGAAAGAAAGAGAAAGAAGAAAGAAAGAAAGAAAGAAAGAAAGAAAGAAAGAAAGAAAGAAAGAAAGAAAGAAAGAAAGAAAAAGAAAACAGAAAAAAATGGACTATGGGGGATGAGAGGGATGGGGTAGAATGGAATGGTTGGTGCCCTTTCAGAGATGGTGGCCAGGGAAGGCTTTTCTGGGAAGATGAACTTTGATCAGACACCTGGGGGAAGTGACAGAGGGGACCCATGGAGGGGGAAAGGTGCTCTAGGCAGAGAACATGGCAGATTGCAAAGGTCTCGGGGCAGAATCCTGCAGGAGGGGGTTGAGGATGAGCAGGGAGGCTAGAAGGGATGAAGCAAAGTCAGAGGCTGAGGTGACGCCTTCTTCTTTGGGTCAGGCCCTGGGGGCACTGGGAGGCTTAGGCAGAGAAGGCACTGGTCAGTCTGGCTTTTGTTTTAACAAGACCGTAGAAGTAAAAGACAGAACAAGGGGACCAATGAGGGGGCTGCTGGAATAACATGGGCAAGATGATAGGTTTGGTGGGCTGAATAACGTCCACCAGTGGTGTCTACGTCCTAATCCCGGGAACCTGTAAGTACATCGCCTTCTACAGCAAAGGGACTTTTTCAGTTGATAAATTAAGGATTTTGAGGTGAGGAGATGACCCTGGATTATCCAGGTGAGCCCAGTGTAGTGACAAAGGTGCAGCAGGAGGGTCAGAGTGAAGAGGAGATGTGACCACAGCCCAGAGGGTCAAAGAGAGAACTTTGAGGATGGAGGGAGGAGCCGCGAGCTAAGGGAAACAGGTTCTCCCCTGCAGCCTCCAGAGGGAAGCAGCCCTGCCACCGCCCCCCTACCCCGCCACCCTCGGCTTTAGCGTTTCTGCTGTCCAGACTGCAGATCATAAATGTGTGTGGTTTTAAGCCACTAAATTTGGGGTTGTTACAGCAGCTACAGGAAATGAATACAATATGGGCTTGGACTAGCCTGATAGCGGTGGAGACGGAAAAGATGATGTGTTTGGCAAATCTTTAAAAAATGGGGTTGGCAGAACTTGATGATGGGTTAGACATAGGCTGATGAGTGAGGGGTGGGCTGAGGATGACCCCTAGGTTTCTAGCCACAGCATCTGGGTGCCCATTGGTCCCACTCATGGGGACCAACTGACATAGGAAGGAAATCAAGTTTGCTTTCCTCTCCTGTCTCCATTCTCTTCTAGAACCTTCTAGAATCCCTCCCCAATAACTGGCCTTTCTCCAGCTGAGAAGTTAATTCCCTCAGGGACCAGGCACTACTTCTCTCACGTCCTCAAGTACGTACACTTATGCTTTTTGTTTTGTTTTGTTTTTGAGGTAGGATCTCCCTCTGTTGCCCAGGCTGGAGTGTGGTGGCACAATTATAGCTCACTGCTGCCTCAACTTCCTGGGCTCAGGTGATCCTCCCACTTCAGCTTCCCAAGTAGCTGGGTCTACAGGCGTGCGCCACCACACTTTACTAATTTTTGTACTTTTTTGTAGACAGGATCTCACTATGTTGCCCAGGCTGGTCTTGAATTCCTGGGCTCAAGGGATCCTCCTATCTCAGCCTCCCAAAGAAGTACGCTGATGAAGCCCAGGGATGGAGCTGGCTTAGACGGGACTGAATTTTTTAAACATCTAGGTATAATTGGAGAGCCCAACCTGGTGGCATCTAGGTGCCCCTGGATTAGTTCTGATGGGAGAAAAAAGGAGGCAGGAGACAAAACAGGAAGGCTGGAGAGCAGGAAGACTAATAATAATGTTATAATGTGGCTGCTTATTAAATGCACGGGAATATATGGCCTGAGAATGGTCTCTCCTCCCCACATGTGGCAACCATATTTTCTGGACCCAGAATTGGGATGTGGGGATTCGTAACTGGCATTCCATTTTCTTTTAATACCTTTGAAAGACCTTCTGATTTGTGAATTTTTTTAGGGCAGGCTACATTGAATTGTATGTTTTAATAAAGGCAGTTCATGAAAATAATAAAAGTATGTGAAACTAGGACTGGCTGGGCAACATTGGCCCTCTTGTAAAACTAATATCTCAGAGCTGCCTCATAAAGCCTGCCCCAGCCCACCCTAACGAGGGTCACGGTTTAGAGCAAACAACCCCCCAGTTGTCATTTAATTCATATCACATATCAATAAATATCTGTTAAATATCACAGTGTGCAGGAAACAACCCTCCAGTTATTATTTAATTAAAGACATAACAATAAATATCTGTTGACTTTGAAACACAGTGACCCGTAAGTCATCGACTCCAGGCTTGAGGGTACATTTTTACATGCATATGTGTTTTAATTGAATAGACAGTCTACACAAGACAGAGAGAGGGTGAAATCTGATCTTCAGAGTAGACTACTACAAAGCAAGCAGATCTCATGGGTCGAACAGCAGCCCCCAAAAGATATGCCTACATCCTAATCCTCAAAACCTGTGAATGTGACTCTTTTTGGAAAAAGGGTCTATGCAGATATAATCACCTATGGATCTCAAGATGAGATTGACCTGGAGTTACAGTGGGTCCTAAGCTTAATGGCAGGTGTCCTGCTAAGAGGAAGCATAGGGAGGTGGATTTGACTCAGACACCAGAGTGGAGAAGGTCATGTGAAAACAGAGGCAGAGACGGACGCTATGCAGCCACAAGCCAAGGAATACCTACCGCCACCAGAAACTGGAGGAGACAAAAAAGGATCCTTCCACTTTGAGCCTTTGGAGAGACCACTGCGCTGCTGACACCTTGATTTTAAATTCCTGGCCTCCAGAACTGCAAGAGAATACACTTCTGTTGTTTGAAGCCATCCAGTTTCTGGTAATTTGATATAGAAGCCCTAGAAAATCAATACACCCCATAATCCTGTAACTTAAAACTATAGCTCATGGGGTGGCTTCCTGGTTTTGTAAATAAAGTTTTATTGGAACACGGCCACAGATGTTAGCTCTGGATGTGTTCAAAATACAGTAGCAGGATGCAGAAGTTGCATTAGAGACCACATAGTGAAATACTCTCTGACTTTTTAAGAAAAAGTTTGCCAATCTCTGATTTAAAACATATACAGACCGGGCATGGTGGCGTGCACCTGTGATCCCAGCACTTTGGGAGGCCAAAGCGAGAGGATCACTTGAGCCCAGAAATTTGAGACCAGCCTGGGCAACAAAGCCAGACCCTGTCTCTACAAAAAATTTAAAAATTAGCTGGGTGTGGTAATGCATGCATGTAGTCCCACCCACTTCGGAGGCTGAGGAAGGAGGATCACTTGTGCTCAGGAGATCAAGGCAGCAGTAAGGCCTGATCACACCACAGCACTCCAGTCTGGGCAACAGAGCAAGACCTTGTCTCAAAAAAAAAAAAAAAAAAAAAAAAAAGGCCAGACACAGTCACTCATGCCTGTAATCCAAGCACTTTGGGAGGCCAAGGCAGGTGGATCACTTGAGGTCTGGAATTTGAGACCAGCCTGGCCAACACAGTGAAACCCATCTGTAATAAAAATACAAACAATTAGCCAGGCACGGTGGTGTGCACCTATAATCCCAGTTACCGTCTCAAAAAAAAAAAAAGACAAAACCCAAAATAAATACATAAAGATTTACTGGGCTCCCTACAATTTCACCCCTCCAAAGCCATCCTGCAGAAATGCCCACAATTAATATACATGCTTGTTGACTTTACCCTATGGTTAAGTATAAATATATGCAGATGTAGTTTATACATGATTAACATTTTAATGTATTAAAAATAATAGGTAATTTTTTCATAATGAAATATCAAAATTATAAAAGGTTACTCAAGGTAAAGGACATTTCCATCCATCCGTATACTCACTTCCTCGGTCCCCTCCCCAGAAGCAACTGCTGTTACCACTTCCTCATGTATCTTTTGAGATCGCCTTTGCTTACATAAATCATATATAGTGTCCCCTCCAAATTCCTATGTTGGAGTCTTAACTTTTCATACCTCACAAAGTGATGTTATTTGGAAATAGAGTGTTTACAGAGGTAACTATATTAAAATGAGGTCATTAGAATTAGCTTTAATCCAATGTCTTTTAAAATGGGGAAGTTTGAACATGAACTCATGGACACAGGGAGACTGTCATGTGGAGATGAAGGCTGAGATCGGGGTGACATGTCTACAGGCCAAAGAGTGTCAAAGATTGCCAGCACACCACCAGAAGTGAGACAGGGAGGAACAGATTCAACCTCACGGCTCTCAGAAGGAACCGGCGCTGCCAACACCTTCATCTCGAACTTCTAGCCTTCAGAACTGCAAGACAATACATTTGGAAATTTACGACTACCCTGGCCTACAAACATGACAAGTATCTATGTATCCTCACCCATCTCCCTCCTTTTTTTGTGTGTGTGTTTTGTTTTTACCTAAGTGAAAGCATACATAATACATTATTTAGTATATTGCTGGTTTTCACTTAACAATATATTTTGGAGATTGTCCCATGTCCCATGTGCTAGTTCTTCTCTAACAGCCCATCTCCCATTCCCTGAGCCTGCTCCTCCACTTTGCTCTGTGCCCCAGATGCAATCTGTGTGCACTGCAACATCTGTGATCATGCCTCCAGCTTCCCATTGGTTCGGCCAAGGGGAGGCTCCAGTAGGAAACTGCAGTTGGGAAGAGAAAGAGGGGACAGTGTATTTATCCCCGACACACACACACCTGTGGTTCCACAGTGGCTGTATCTCTCTATAGCTCTAGTCCTTAAAGTACGTCCCTCTTCCATGGCTCCTGGCATCACTGAAGCTCAGGAATGACATGTCCTACTCTGCCCTTCAGCCCCAGGGGTGGTGATAGCTCCCCACTGTTGCCAGGCCCTGGGGTTTGGCCATCCTTTGTTGGTTCCCTTAACCCTTCCTGTATTCATTTGCTGCAGGTGCTGTCTCAAATTACCACAAATTAGATGGCATAACAATGCAAAGTTATTCTCTCACATTTCTGGAGGCCAGAATCCCCCAAAGCACCAGCAGGGCCATGCTCCCTCCAAAACCTCCAAGGGAGAACGCTTCCTTGCTTCTTTCAGCTTCTGGTGGCTCCAGGTCTTCGTTGACTTGTGACTGCATCACTCCAGACTCTACCTCCACCTACACATGACGTTCTCTGTGTGTCCTTTAAAAGGACATGTGTCATTGGATTTAGGGTCTACCAGGATAATTCAGGATGATCTCATTTTGAGACCCTTAAGTACATTTGCAAAGACCCTTGATATGGTTTGGCTGTGTCCCCACCAAATCTCATCTTGAATTGTAGCTCCCATAATCCCCACGTGTCCTGGGAGGGACCCAGTGGGAGATAATTGAATTATGGGGGTGGTTTCCCCATACTGTTTTCGTGGTAGTGAATAAGTCTCACGAGATCTGATGGTTTTATAAGGGGAAAGCCTTTCACTTGGTTCTCATTCTCTCTTTGCCTGCCACCAGGTAAGACATCCCTTGCTCTTCCACCATGATTGTGAGGCCTCCCCAGCCATGTGGAACTGTGAGTCCATTAAATCTCTTTCCTTTATAAATTACCCAGTCTCAGGTATGTCTTCATTAGCAGCGTGAGAACAAACTAATACAACACTTTTTTGCAAATAAAGTCACATTTACAGCTTCCAGGGGTCAGGATGCCCCCAGTGTGTGTGGTGGTGAGGGGACAGGGGATCATTCATCCCACTACACTGCCCACCCTTCTGTAAATAGCTTTTTGTCCAGATTTGCTTTTGTTAAATCCTTTTGAGTATACCTCTGTGTCCTGCTGACTGATGCATTTCCTTCAAAAACATTTATAGCTACATACCTACCGTTTTTTAACAACTGCATAGAATTCTGTTGAATGGACAGACCTTAATTTACAATTAGCATTTAATGAACTCCTATTACCTGTCTCCTCCTGGTGCCCAGTGTGATGCTTTGCAAAGATGGATCTAAGGATGCCCCTATGGCAACATAATGTAGAAAGAACAAGTGGCCTCATCTATAACTCTGAACCTACACTGTGCGCTCCTCACCAGCGAGTTCTGTAGGTTTATGCTGTGGCAGATGCATGAGCTCCCTGCATTTGGGGCTCAGTAGGAAAGAGGCATATTCGAGGATGCCATGTTTGAGCTGGTCTTAGAGAGGGGATGGGAATGGGTTCAGAAAGATATTCCAGTGGCCAAAAGCACATGAAAGATGCTGTTTCATTAGTTATCGGGGAAATGCAAATCAAAACATTGAGTCACCACTGTACACCCACTAGAGTGGCTATGATTATAAAGACCCAATAACAAACACTGGAGGAGATGTGGAGATATTTGAACCTTCATATACCGCTGGTAGGAATATAAAATGGGGAAGCCACTTTGGATAACAGGTTAGCAGGTTCTAAAAAGGTTAAGCATAGAGTTACCATATGATCAGGCAATCCTACTCCTAGGAATATATCCAAGAGAAATAAGAACATATGCCCACACAGGAACTTACAGGTAAATGTTCACGGCAAGATTATTCACAGTAGCCACAAAGCGGAAACAACCCAAATGTCCATCATCAACTGATGAATAAATAAAATGTAATACATCCATATATGTAATACTATTCAGCAAAAAAAGTGTGGTGGCTCACGTCTGTAATCCCAGCACTTTGAAAGTTCAAGGCAGGTGGATTGCTTGAGCCCAGGAGTTCAAGACCAGCCTGGGCAACATGTTGAAACCTCGCCTCTACCAAAAAATTACCAAAAAAAAAAAATTAGCCAGGCATGGTGGCATGTGCCTGTAGTCCCAGCTGCTCAGGAGGCTGAGGTGGGAGGATGGCTTGAGCCTGGGAGGCGGAGGTTGCAGTGAGCTGAGATTGTGCCACTGCACTCCAGTCGGGGTGACAGAGCCCGACCCTGTCTCAAATAAATAAACAGATAAATAAAGTGCTGATTCATGCTGCAACATGGAAGAACTTTGAAAACATTATGCTAAGTGAAAGAAGTCAATTACAAAAGACTACATATTGTATTATTCCATTTACATGAAATGTCCATAACAGACAAATCCATAGAGACGGAAAGTAGATTAGTGGTTATCAGAGGGAAGGGAGAGGGAGGAATTGGAAGGTTATAGCTAAAGGGTGTGGTGTTTCTTTGGGGGTAATGAAAATGTCCTAGCATTGATTGTGGTGATGGCTGCACACCTCTGTAAATATAGTCAGCACCATTGAATTGTGCACTTTAAGTGGGTGAATTGCATGGTTTGTGATAAAGCTGTTAACAATAAGAAGGGGGGACGGAATGTCTTTTAGGTGAAGGAAATTGCAGAAGCTTGGCAGCAACGTCCAGTGCAGCTGAGGCACTGTGGGGAAACAGAAAGGAAATACCGTCATTTAAGAGTGAAAATAGGGGTTTTCATAGGATGTCTCCATCCAAGAGTAGGTACCGAGAATGCTCAGAGAAGCAATAGGAAAATAACATCCCTTTCACGTTCTCACCTCCTTAACCCCTAGCATAATAAAGAATTATTCCCATTTTATAGAAGTAGACACAAAGGCTCAGAGGCCATTTTGGCCAAGATCTCTCAGCTAGAAGATTGGCCAGCTGAGAGTTCCAAACATTAGGAAGGGAGGCAAAATGCTTGTGGGGCTGGGGTTGAAGGCGTAGAGACTCATTGTAGGGCCCTAGGCAGTCCCTAGCTCGAATCTGACTTTCCAATTCATAGTTATAAGACTTTGAGCAAGCTGCTTTACACGCACGATTCCCAGTTTATCTGCCTGCAAAATGAGAGCGTTTATTTCCAACATGTTCATTCCAAGTATTTACACAAAAGGCTCAATACTTGATTTGTGTTGGCTGGCAATCTCTCTAAACTTCACTTTCCCCATTTCTACGAGGAAGGCAAGGGTCCCTAATCTTGCCCCCGTTCTCAGGGGAGTCCTAAGGCTCAATAATAAAAATAAAATAAGAAAAAGGAGAGAACGCGATTGCCCGGTTGGCGCGACCCTTAACACCGAGCTAAACCGGCGCATGTTAGGGACCGGCGCCCCCTGCCGCCTTCTCCGCTGCATTGGCGTCTCACAGAATCCGCCCAAGGCCCTGCGCCTGCGCAAAATGCAAGCGCCCAGGCCCACCCCTTGTGGGGTGTGACCTCCCTGAGTAGTTTTGGATTAGCCACGCCTACTTCCGGACAGGTCAGGCCAAGGTCTCAGCCACGTGACTGTGTTCCGGCTCGGTAAAGATGGCGGCGCCCAGGGCGGTAGCGTGAAACTTGGTGGAAGACGCTGACCAGTCGTGTTGGAATCAAAACAGCGGGGACCCTGCGCCATGTCGCGACTGATCGTGAAGAATCTCCCGAATGGGGTGAGTGCAGAGGCAGGACTTGGGAATCTGAAATGAGACCAGCCGGGAGCTGTGAGGTAGGGAAGAGATGCCTGGAGGTGATCGAAGAATTTTTGCTCTGGGGCAGGACTCCGGGCCAATTCTGAACTCAAAGGGGGCGGGATCCTGGGCTTATCCCCATTTGATCCCGAGGAAAGAGGAATAGTGACTGCTTACGGTTTCACGGCCGGTTGTTTGGTACCTGACTCCTAACACACCTCTTCTCGGGGAGATGACAACTCCCACCTTGTGGCGAATACCCTGCTCCCACAACCTCTTTCATTCGATCACTGTTTTTTAGTTGTTGACCCGGGACATGGTCCGACACTGTATTTATATTCCTCTCCCAGTCTGGAAACTGTTGGGGAAGACATGGGGAATATTAATCTGCGGACCTGCGTTCCAATTCCCACTCCCATCCTTAGGGCAAGTAGGAATACGGAGTGGGTAAAGGGCTTTACAGCATTTATCCAGTAAGTGGGGAGTGGTGACCCAGCCATACTTTTTTGTTTCCCTGGAGCCCAGCGCAGAACCCGACACGTGGTAGGCAAAATAGGTGAATGTACGTAATATTAGATGATTAGATGCGGTGGGCTCGAATGGATCATCCTTTTTTCTCTCTCTCGCTGTTTTTTGTTCTGTTTTGTTTTTTTGTTTTTAAATGGATTACTGCTCCTTCCATCAGGTTAGACAGTGTCTCTTGATGCCTCGCTTTGTGGGATGAGGATTTTTAGCGTAGCTGCACTTCCTTTCCCTCCCAAATTCAGCTTTGTTGTGTTTCAAGTGTAGTTGATTCTCTTATCATTGTTTGTCTTATCTCTTTTTTTTCTCTCTCTTTCATGGCTTTTTTTGGTTTTGTTTTTTGTTTTTTTCTTTTTTTGTTTTTTTTTTTTAAACGGAGTCTGGCTCTGTCTCCCAGGCTGGACTGCGGTGGAGCAATCTCGGCAGTCTCGGCTCACTGCAACTTTTGCCTCCCGGGTTCTAGCGATGCTCCTGCCTCAGCCTCCCAAGTAGCTGGGACTACAGACACGCGCCACCAAGCCCGACTAATTTTTTTATTTTTAGTAGAGACATGGGGTTTCGCCATGTTGGACAAGTTGGTCTCGAACTCCTGACCTCAGGTGATCCACCGCCTCGGCCTCCCAAAGTGCTGGGATTACAGGCGTGAGCCACTGCACCTGGCCCCCATTTCTGTTCTAATGTTGTGAGTTTTTTCCTTTCCTTTTTTTTTTTTCATTTGTCAGGTGGGACAAAGGAACTTTGTAACACACAGTTTTCAAAATTCAAACAGTATAGTAGTGTATAACATGAGTAGCAAAGTCTTTGCTCTGTCCTACCTTCCCTCTCTGTCCAGGAGTAACCATCTTCATTGATTTGTTTTTGGGACTCCTCACATGTATCTCTGTATATTTGAGGAGTGTACTTTCCTCCTTTTGACCTGCCTGCCCCAGTGACTATCTGCTAGGCCTCAACTGTGAAAAATAAGGAATTTAGATCATCTGTTCCTCCTCTCCAGTGTCTGTAATATTCTTGTTTTTAATTATCCTGTTATAATCTCTGAGTAGTATACTTAAAAATATCTATTACTCATCCATCCATCAGGTTAGACATGTCTCTTGATGCCTTGCTTTGTGCGATGAGGATTTTTAGCGTGGCTGCACTTCCTTTTCTTCCCAAATTCAGCTTTGTTGCACTTCACAGTGTAGTTGACTCTCTTATCATTGTTTGTCTTATCTCATGAATGAAAGAATAATAAAAACAAGGGCAGTTGCAGCTGACACTTGGAGAGTTTACTGTGTGCCAGGCACTGTTCCAGGTGCTTTAGGTAAAGTAACATTTAATCCTCACCATATCCCTGTGAGGTAAGTTTTATTTTTACGCCCATTTTAAAGGTAAAGAAACCAAGATACAGCGAGGTACAGGGATTTGCCTGAGGTCACACACTGGTGTAATTTATAGAGCAGGGATTGAATTGAGCAATCTTTAGTTTAGGGATTGAATTGAGGAAATAATTAGTAGTGAGTACTTGTGATATTGCTGACACTGTAGATAGAGGTGGATAAGCCTGTGTCCTTATTTTTAATGGGACTTGCAGGCTAGCAGAAAAGAGAGGCACCAGATCATTACGATGCAAGGTGCATCACTGACATGTGAACCGAGTGCTGTGGGAGCACAGTGAGGGTTGGTTATCTCGTCCATCTAAGGCATCTAAGAAAGGCCTCCTGGAATAGGAGATGATTGAACTGAGAATGAGGAGTTAGCCAGGGCCTGTCTTGGGAAATATCACCCAGAGGGGACAACCAAAGTAAAACCTCGGAAGTGAGAAGGCTGTGAGAAATTTGTCAAAGCGTGGTGCTGAAGAGGTTGGTCAGGGCAGATCTTGAAGAATTGCATGTTTTCCTTTAGGTGCTCGTCCTTGAGACTTTGGTGCCAGAAAGTCACCGAAAGGTTTTTGGCAAAGGAATGATGGATTCAGACTTGAGCCAGGTCTCTCCCAGGCACTGAGGAATTGAATTCACTGTCTTATATTTCTGAATTGAGTCACAAACCTTGATTCTGTAGGCCTTGGGCAGATCATTTATCCCTTATGAGTTTCATTTTCTCTATAAAATGTGGACAAAAATTCCTAACTCACAGTGTGATTGAGATTTTGATTAGATCAGTTAGTAAGAAGCTACCTCAGAAAATGTCATCTTCTGGCTGGACTGCCAAGGCCTCTAGCTTCTTGCATTTTCAAACTTATTTTGGCTGTTCGTGGGGCCCTGAATGTCCCCTCAACTCCACTACCACACACACAAATATCCCAGTATCTGCTTAGAAAACTGAGTTGTGAGGGTAGCCTGGCTGCAGTGAAGATGGTGAGAAGCCAGGAGCCTGTTTTCCATAGTGTGGGGCTTCTTGACCAAATTATAATAATAGTGTGTTAGTTTTTTAGTGCAGCTATAGCAAATTAGCACAAACTTAGTGGCTTAAACAATCCAGACAATCCTTATCTTACAGTTTTGCAGGTCAGAAATCCTAAAATCAAGGCTTTGGCAGGGCTGCAGTCCTTCTGGAAGCTCTGTGGGAATATCTGTCCCTTTGCCTTTTTTCAGCTTCTAGAAGCACCTGCCTTCCTTGGTTCATAGCTATATACTCCATATTTGGAGCCAATAGCATAGCATCTTCCAATCTTTCTGTTTCCATCTTCTCTGATCTTCCCGCCTCCCTCTCATAAGGACCCTTGAGGTGACATTGGACCTGGCTGCATAATCCAGATCATCTCCCCATCTCCATATCAGTCACACCTGACAAGTCCCTTTTGCCTTGTAAGGTAACATATCCACAGTTTCCAGGGATTAGGATGTGGGCATCTTTTGGGGGGGCTTTATTAACAAAGATATATATAGCTTACCATGCCTGTTCATTCTTTCATTTATTCCTACAAGTATTTATTAGGTATCTACTATGTAGCAGACGTAATACTGCTTCTGTAATTGGTCTTATCCTCATAGGAGCCCCATAGGGTAGGAAGATGTCATTTGCAGCCATTATGAGTCATGATTTCCACATCAGTGAGTGGTTAAGGGACTTTCTCAAGGCCACACAACTCGTGCTAGAGTCAGAGCTGGAACCTGTTGTAACTAGAAAAGTACACTCTGCCCCTCTTCATCTAAGGCCACCCTTGGAGAATCTCGTGGCCTCAGGTTTCCAGCCCATTTTGTCCCCTTGCTCTGGGGACTTTCCAGTTCGTCTCTCATTCCTTTCCCTCTGTCCTAGATGAAGGAGGAGCGTTTCAGGCAGCTGTTTGCCGCCTTCGGCACGCTGACAGACTGCAGCCTGAAGTTCACCAAAGATGGCAAGTTCCGCAAGTTTGGTTTTATTGGCTTCAAGTCCGAGGAAGAGGCCCAGAAGGCACAGAAGCATTTCAACAAGAGCTTCATCGACACATCCCGGATCACAGTGAGTGGGCAGGAGTCTCACCCTTACCTTCCTGTCAAGTGTGACGTTGTTTGATCTTTCACTCAGCACTTGAGTTCAAAGACCGTCCCTCTTCACTTTGTGATGTCTTTGGTTTTCTTCCTCACCGATTCACACACTTTCATGTGCATACAAATCACCTGAGAGCTTATTATAACAGCTTCCTGGGCCCGTCCCCAGAGCATCTGATTCAGTGCATGGAGTCAGGACCCAAGAATTCACACATCCAACAAGCCCTCAGGTGACGACCATGCTGCTGGTCTGAGGCCCACACCTTGAGAACCACAGCTCTACCTCATCCATTCACTCATGCATTTAGCAAGCACTCAATGATGCTGGGAGTTTAGAGAAAAAGGTGATGCCTCAGCCCCTGTCCTCATGGAGCCTGCTGTCTCTGGGCAGGCAGGGGGCTGACAGGTCAGCAGGCTGCTTTGGCTCAGTGACATCAGTGCTATGATAGGGTGAGCCCCAGGGACTGTGGGAGAACAAAGATCTATAGCCGGACCAGGGAGGAGTCAGGAAAGCTTCCTGGAGGAGTGGGCTCCACTCAGGTCACTCGTGTATTTAGTGACTTCGTAAAAACATCTCTAATGCTTTGTTGAGAAGGAAAAAACAGATGATGGATAAATATATATATGTCTCGTGATCCTATATAGACACAATCGTATTCCTCTATCCATACATATATGATAAATGCATAGAAGGCCATAGGATAGGATTTGTACCAAAATACTAATCATTCCTCTCCATGAGTGATAGGAATTGGAGTACATCTTTTTTAACTTCCATTGTACTTTTGTATATTATTTGAATTTTGTACCGTGAGCATGTCATTATTATAGAGATAACAAGCCTATTTTGGAAGTGTGCACAAAAGGGATTGTAACTGGCCAGGTGTGGTGGCTCCTGCCTATAATACAAGCACTTTGGGAGGCTGAGGTGGGAGGATCACTTGAAGCCAGGAGTTCAAGACCAGCCTGTGCAACATAGCAAGACTGCGTCTTTACAAAAATAAAAAAAAAAATTAGCCGGGCATGGTGACATGTGCCTGGAGTCCTAGGTATTCAGAAGGCTGAGACAAGAGGATCACTTGAGCCCAAGAGTTTGAGGCTGCAGTGAGCTATGATCATGCCACTGCAGTCCAGCCTGGGCAACGGAGTGAGACCCTGTGTCTTAAAAAGGATTGCAACCAGATGGCAGCTCCTTCCCCCAGGGGCAGTGGTTGGTTGACCAGCGTCAGCCTTAACTGTGGCTGGGAGTGGCTTGCGGTGGTGGATGCCCCAGTAACCAGCGCTCTCAAAGTCCTCTCAGAGGAGTGTATTGGAGGTTTTAGGGCCTGAATAGTGCGTCAGCTCAGGCTGGGTCTCCAGTACTCTTCCGTCCCTCCAGTGGTCACCCCAGTGCCCCTATCACCCTAGAATTGTTCTCTGGAGCCAGATGAGCTTACTTTATGATAATTAACCCAGGGCAGTGTGGGGTAACTGTGGTAGCCACTGCCCCACATTACCCTGCCCAGAGCCTGGTTGAGTGCTTGGCCCAGGTCATCTCATGCCATCCTCACAGCCGCCCGGTAGAGTGGATGGTTAAGAACTCAGGTTCCAGAGCCCAGAGACCCCCTGAGTTCCAGTCTTCACTCTGTCACTTATTACCTGGGTAAGCCAGGGAAATTGACTTCTTGATGCTCCAATTTCTTGATCTGAATTGTAGAAAGTCATAGCTGTCACTGACATGAGAGGCTCGGTGTATCAGTACTTGCAGAGCACTTCAGACAGTACCTGGCATGTGGAGTTCCTCAGTAAGTGGCAGCTATTACCATTACAGTATTACAGACTCATAATGATAGACTGTTAGAGTATTGTATTCTAGACTTGAAGGGAAAGAAAGCCCAGGCTAAGGGGTGACGTGTAATCTACTTCAGCAAACTCAGCTAGGCAGTGACAGTTGTCTGAAATGCCCGAGCTCCCAGGTGCCGAAGGGCAGCACCCAACGCCTGGGTGCCATGGCAGGTGTGAAAATCACTCTCTTTCCCACACAGGTGGAGTTCTGCAAGTCATTCGGGGACCCGGCCAAACCCAGAGCCTGGAGCAAACATGCCCAGAAACCAAGCCAGCCCAAGCAGCCTCCAAAAGACTCTACTACTCCAGAAATTAAGAAAGTATGTAAAGGGTCACTCTAGCCTCTGTCCCCACTGCCAGCAGGGTAGTCACTCACTTTTGGTTCCCAAAGATGGGCCCTCCCAGGTCAGTGCAGTTCTGTTTCCCAGCTCTCTTCATCTGTGTGACCCTCACTCTCTGTGCCTTCTGTTTTCAGGATGAGAAGAAGAAAAAGGTGGCAGGTCAACTGGAGAAGGTGAGTCTGTCCTGTTGCCCAAGGAGGAGAGAGGGTGGGCAGCAGGTGGAAGAGGGTGGAGACTGGAGAGGGTAGAGGCTGGGAGAGGGTGGAGGCTAGGAGACCGTAGAGGCTGGAGAGGGTGGAGGCTAGGAAAGGGAAGAGGCTGGAGAGGGTGGACACTGGGAGAGGGAAGAGGCTGGAGAGGATGGAGGCTGGCCCTGGCAAGCAGAGCTGTGCCTCTGGTCTCCCCTGGCCTTGTCTTCTTGTCCTCTTAGTTTTGTCTAGTGAGGAGTCAACTCTGCCTTCCTCAGAACTGACCCAGCTGAACCTCGGGGTCCTCCAGAGAATGGGGGAAATTAGCTTGAGGGATCTTCTCACCCTCTTAAGAGTTAGAAAGATCAAGCCCCACCTGAGCCTTCTCTGCCTCTTCCTCTCTCTTTTTCCCGTGTCCCTGCCGCCCGGGTTCTGGTGCCACCAGCTGAAGGAGGATACAGAGTTCCAGGAGTTTCTGTCAGTTCATCAGAGGCGGGCGCAGGCAGCCACTTGGGCGAATGATGGCCTGGATGCTGAGCCCTCGAAAGGGAAGAGCAAGCCGGCCAGTGACTACCTGAACTTCGACTCCGATTCTGGGCAGGAGAGTGAGGAGGAGGGAGCCGGGGAGGACCTGGAAGGTGAGGGCATGGGGACTGTGTGCTCCATGCGCACGGACCTGTGCTTGCCATTGGGCTAACCGGCACTGGGGGCCCCTCTGTGCAGACTCTAGGAGTCAGGTGAGCCCTTGAGCTCTCCATTGGGGGTGATGATCCCTCTGCAGGTGCATCTGTCTTCACTGATCCTAGTTGTGTATTCAGTCAGTCAGTCAACAAATATTTCTTGAGCACCTATTATCTGCCAGGCATACTTCAGGCATTGGGACCATGTTGATAAGCAAAAGACAGAAGGGTTTATTCCCCTATGGAGCTGTGATTATGGTTGTGGAGAGAAACAATAAGCAAATAAGTCCACTGTTGGGTATATCATAGGATGATGAATGCTACAGAGAGAAAGCAGGAAAGGCGACAGGAGAATTATGAGGGAAGGCCTCCCTGAGGAGGTGAGGGAGTGAGCCTTTGTCCTCAGAAGGGGTTTGTGGTGTGGGGGAGGCCTGGTGGGCAAGAAAACAGTTGCAACACAGGAGGGTACGTGCTTGGTGGAGAACTGGGCATCTATTTGGGTCTAAAGGTGAGAAGATGTACATTTAGTGCAGTTATGCCTGGTAACGTTTCTGCACTAAGTTCACATCCGAGGAACTCAGGGGACTTAGTGGGACACGGTAGGGGAGGGGAGAGGAAAGGGGTTCCAGTCAAGGGAACAGCATCGCAGAGACACAGAGGAAAGGAAAGTGCATGGGCTTGAGGGGCTCAATGTGGGTTGGGATGGCTTGAGCAGGAGGAGACAGTGGAAGAAGCCCACGCAGCCAGCCCTGATGAGGAGCCTGGATTTCACCCTGAGCATTCAGAAACCCCTGGAGGGTATTAAGCAGAGACTGACCGTCCTGTACCTACTCTGTAAAGTGTCACAGAGGCTGCCGTGTAGAGGACTAGGAAGACATGGCTGGTGGCAGGGAGCCAGGAGCTCAATGTGTGGCACAGAGAATATCAAAGCTGCAGTAGCCCTGCCCCGTTTTGGTATTGCTAATCAGAGGACTTATGGGGGATGCTGGGCACAGGGGCCATGGACACGGTGGGCATGGTGCCTCAGGCCTCTCACTAGGAGGACCATCTACCATTTGCTACCTCTGACCTCTGGTTTGCTCATAGCTGTCGCTGATCCCAGCTTCCCTGTTTTTCCAGAAGAGGCAAGCCTCGAACCAAAGGCAGCTGTGCAGAAGGAGCTGTCGGACATGGATTACCTGAAATCCAAGATGGTGAAGGCTGGGTCGTCCTCTTCCTCGGAGGAAGAGGAAAGTGAAGATGAAGCCGTGCACTGTGATGAAGGGAGTGAGGCCGAGGAAGAGGATTCCTCCGCCACCCCAGTCCTGCAGGAAAGAGACAGCAAGGGTGCAGGCCAAGAGCAAGGGATGCCAGCTGGGAAAAAGAGACCACCGGAGGCCAGAGCCGAGGTGCGTGTGTATCCCGCAGGTGATGAGGGAGGAGGTGCGCTCTCCTGCTTGCCCGTGGTCCCCACAGCTCCTCTGTTAGGAGAGCGGAATGTTGGGGAAAGACGCAGCTCTGCAGTCCAAAGCCTTCCCGATCTTGGCCCTGCCGCTTGCTCGCCGTGTGTTCTTTCTGCGTTTCTTTTCTGTTTTTATTTTTATTTTATTTTATTTTATTTTTTGAGACAGAGTCTCACTCTGTCACCCAGGCTGGAGTGCGGTGGTGCAATCTCAGCTCACTGCAACCTCCGCCTCCTGGGTTCAAGTGATTCTTCTGCCTCAGCCTCCTGAGTAGCTGGGATTATAGTCACACCCAGCTAATTTTTTGTATTTTTAGTCGAAATGGGGTTTTGTCATGTTAGCCAGGCTGGTCTCAAACTCCTGACCTCAAGTGATCCACTCATCTCAGCCTCCCAAAGTGCTGGGATTATAGGCATGAGCCACTGCACCCAGCCTCTGCATTTATTTTCTGTTGCTAACCTGGAGAGGTCACCTGCCTTCCAGAAATTGCCTATAAGTAGGGTGACAACTAAATTATTGTCAACACTAAGTTAAAAGTGAGATGCTAGTCCAGTGGGGTGCCAGGCTGTGGATGTAGTTACTGCAGGTCTAATGACTACAGATAGAGTGAACAACTATCCCGGGCAAACTGGAGCAGCCCCGGTCAACACACCCATATCCCACCAATGGGGCAGAAGTGAGCTGAGTGATGGCTTTGAGCCTTTATCCTTTGTATTTAGTAACAACACAGGCAGAGGGGTGCAGACCAGTCATCAGCAATCATAGGGAGGATCAACTGAGCCTGCGCTACACACTAGGCACCATGCCTGCCGTGCCGTTGCATCTCATCACTATCTGGAGGGCAGTATTGGTCTTGTTCCATTTTACAGATGAGGAAACAGGCCTGGAGAAGGAAGGTGCCTCAGCCAGGGTCATGGCTGGGAAATGGTGGGTTCAGGACTTAGCCCCAGGTCTGTGGGGTCTGAAGTCGAGATCATAAACGTGGGCGCTTCCCCAGAGGTCGGCCAACTCGTCTCTGACCTGGGAGTCCTCTCTGCATCAGAGACAGAGCAGTTTGACATGTTGTCCAGGTCCCTGTTCCCTCCTTTCTCTGTGAAGCATCACTTCTCTCCCTGCCTAGCCCTGTATTTTTTTTTTTTTTTTTTTTTTTTGAGACAGTCTTGCTGTCGCCCAGGCTGGAGTGCAGTGGTGTGATCTCAGCTCACTGCAGCCTCTGCCTCCCGGGTTCAAGTGATTCTCATGCCTCAGCCTCCCGAGTAGCTGGGATTACAGGCACACACCACCACACCCAGCTAATTTTTGTATTTTTAGTAGAGATGGAGTTTCACCATATTGTCCAGGCTGATCTTGAGCTCCTGGCCTCAAGTGATCAACCCACCTCAGCCTCCCAAATTGCTGGGATTACAGGCCTGAGCCACTGCACCTGGCCCCAGCCCTGTATTTTCAAATGAGATGAAAGCAAGCTTCATCCTCTTTTCTTTCCTCTTTTCCCTTTCTTCTTCCTCCCTCCTTTTATTTTCTGCCTCTTCTAATTATGCACTCTGTCCTTTTCTTCCCCCCCAAAATTGTATATTTCAGTGAGGTAGTAGAGTGTGGGGAAGTCAGAATTATGAGTTCAAATCCTAGTTCCATCATTTAGTGGCTGTTGGTCCTTGGGTGAGATACTTTACTTCCTTCAGCCTCTGAATTTTCGTTTACAAAAAGGCACTCATGGTAGCACTGCTCCCTGCCTCCGGTTTCTGACCCCGTGCCTAAGTATATGCTGGAATTCTGGAATCTTCAGGTTTCAGGAAGAGAACCCTCTGGAATGCAGCACCCCCAGCAGGGCTCACTCCCCTCTGCCTACCTTGTTACTAAATACAGGATAAAAGGCAGCACCCCACGGTCAAGCGCAGTCACATTTCTGCAACGCATGGACAAGACTGCTTGCGCTGCGTGAATCAGCATAAGCTATATATGGGCTCACATCCACTCAGGGCAGGCTTTGCTGGGAAGTGCATTCAAGTCGGGGCAGGTTTTGTTGCCATAAAGGTTACCAGAAACTTAGGTTTTTTCAGAGGTGTCTGGATTCCGGAGTTGTGGGAAAAAGGATCCTGAACCCATAATCCCCATGGGATTGTTGTGAAGATGTAGTAGATCACTGGCATCTGTAAAGTGCTTGGCTTAGTGTCTGGCACTGATAAGCCCTACATAGTGGTACTGACACCCCGTTCTTCAGGGCTCCTTCACATTCCCACCCTGCCCCTCCTTGTAGCCCCAGGGTCCCTGTCCAGGTGCCCATAGCTTGCCAGGCTCTGGTTCCAGCCCTCGTCTCAGGGGCACATGGAGACTTGGCATCACCTAGCCCCACCTCTGGCCAGACTCCATACACGGTGGACATTGATTCTTCCCAGCATTCCCCAGCTCCCCCTGGCGGCAGGCACCTTCTCTGGCACTGAAATGTCCCAGTGTGCCACCTCCTGCAGCTGTACGAAGGGTTAGTGTGGCCACTTCTGTTTGTTTTTGTGATCACTCAGACAGAGAAACCAGCAAACCAGAAGGAACCCACCACCTGCCACACCGTGAAGCTGCGGGGAGCCCCGTTCAATGTCACAGAGGTATGTGCTAACTGAGGACAAGGGTCGGCAGCCTGCGGGAGCAGGAGACGAGGGTGGGGAGGCCAGGAGCCTTTGGTGCATGGGGGCATTAGAGTCGGTTGAGGACATGAGCTGGAAGGAATTGGGGGCCAAAAAGGCTGAGAAATAACATCTCCGGCATCGTCAGGGTCAGGAAACAGGCATGGCTACACCAAGACAAAGGAGGTTCTGGTTTCACTCACCAGTACCCACACCAGGGTGGGCACACACTCTGTTAAAGAAAAGGTTGTGGGGGCAGTCAGCCAGTTAATATTTAAGACTTCGTGATCAACACGGTCTCTGTTGTGACTACTCACCCTGCTCTTATAGCAAGGAAGCAGTCTCAGAAAGTAGGTAAAAATAAATAAAACTTTAGTTACAAAAACAGGCAGTGAGCCAGATTTGGCCTGTGGACTGTAGTTTGCTGCCTTTGGGTCTGTAACAGCAGAAGAACACTTAATTTTCGTTCTTCGTGAAAGTAGTAGTTCAATATAGAAAACTCAAAACCATGTAGCTAAATAAAAAATATTTAAAAATTGCCTGTAAGTAGGATGACTACTAAATTATCATCTACACTAAATTGAGAGTGAGAGGGGTGCTACCCCAATGGGGTGCCAGGCTGTGGATGTAATTACCGCAGGTCTAACGACTCCAAATACAGTGACAACTCATCCCAGGCAAACTAGGGCTGCCCTGGCCAACACACTTGTATCTACCCAGTGACGTCCACTGATACATTTTGGGTGTGTCTTCTTAGATGGTTTTTGTTTTGTTTTCCTTTGTTTTTAGTTTTTATTATTATTATTTTTGTGTGTGTGTGTGAGACAGGGTCTCACTGTGTTGCCCAGGCTGTAGTACAGTGCTGCCATCATAGCTCACTGAAGCCTCTTCTTGGACGTTTTTGTCTTTGTATGTCTAAGAAGCAATCATTTACTGGGAACTCTTTGGAAACCCCTTTTTCCTCCTCATCATGGTATGTTATAGACCTCTTTGAATATTGAATATACTCTGCTACAGCAGCATTTTTTATGCTCATGCTCTTCCTTACTCAGGGTAAACTTCTGTAGGTTTACTCAGTCCCCTAAATTGGGACGTGGGAGTTATATCCAATTTTTTGCTGTTATAAATAATAATTCAGTTCCTTGGGATTAGGGGTGAGCAGACTTCGTCTGTAAAGGCCAGATGGTAAATATGTCAGGCTTTGTAAGCCATTTAATCTCTGTCACATATTCGTTGTTTTCTCTTTTTTTGGTAATCCTTTAAAATGTAAAAACCATTTTTAGCTTGCAAGCCATTCAAAAGCAGACCATGGTGATATTTGGCCCGTGGGCCATAGTTTGCTGATCTTTGCTCCAGATAAATATTCTGTGTAGGCAAATGTGTGTACAATTCTAAGGCTTTGGCACATAATATCAGTTGCCCTCTGGGAGCATTGCTAGTTTATGCTCGCTGTAGCAGAGTCTACAAGTGCCCATTTTCCTGAACCCTGGGTATTATTAATGTTTCATCAATGTGATAGGTAAAATTGGCATCTCATGTTAATTTATATTTTAAATTACTTGTAAGATGGATCATACTCTCTCACATTTGTAGATCGTGTATATCTTGTTGTCATTGTTGTTTTGAGACAGAGTTTCGCTCTTATCTCCCAGGCTGGAGTACAATGGTGCAATCTCAGCTCACTGCAACCTCCGCCTCCCGGGTTCAAGTGATTCTCCTGCCTCAGCCTCTCGGGTAGCTGGGATTACAGGCACCTGTCACCATGTCCAGCTAATTTTTGTATTTTTAGTAGAGACAGCGTTTCACCATGTTGGCCAGGCTGGTCTCGAACTCCTGACCTCGGGTGATCACCCGCCTTGGACTCCCAAAGTGCTGGGATTACAGGCGTGAGCCACCGCACCTGGCCAATATATCTTCTCTTTTGGAAAGTGCCCGATCATGTCTTTTGCCCTTTTTTCTCTTGAAGTCTTTATCTGTTCTGGTACTCTATGTTTATAAATATCTGAATTACAACTTATCAAACTTCAGAGTAGCAAGCATGTAGGTTTTATTAAACTCACTGAGTTGCTTGTAATTTTGTCAGAATTCTTTCAGTATCAACCATTCAGAAAATCACATGCTTTAATTAACAAAACCAAAACCACTAGGTGGCTACTTGCAAAACTAATACACAAAAACCAAATACTCAAGCTTAATGAGAAGTGAAAAAAGCCAGGTTTAATCCCAAGTATATACAATTATCTAGGGGGGAAACAGTGCCTTGAAATGCGGATCGTGACATCGCTATTTTAACGCTGATAGTGACACTGCTATTTTATATTTATATTACTCATTTCTCCTCCAATTTTCTTTTTCACATTTTCTCCAAGGTAATTGGAGAAGCGATACGTATAAGGAAAGAGAAAAACTAAAGAATGAAACACTTTGTAATCCTTTCTGATTTAGAAATTTGCCCCATGTCTTTTCGTTGGGTTGTACTTTTATTATGTGGTTGGTAAGGGGAAAAAAACTTCTTCTCACAGAAAAATGTTATGGAATTCCTGGCACCCCTGAAACCAGTGGCCATTCGAATTGTGAGAAACGCTCATGGGAATAAAACAGGTAAGATCCAGGATGTTTCCAGGTGGGAAGGCGGGTAGACAGTGAAGATTGAAGGTTGGGGTACTTGAATAAGGAAGAAGTTTTAAGGGCACCCGTTTTTCTTCCTGTTTGTGGTCCTCAGTTGTGTGGATGTGGTCAGCCTGGGCAGGTTAAGGCTGCATCTCTTGCCCCAGCCTTTGGTGGCCTAGTGTATAGGGATGGAGTTCTCACCTGTGCTTTTCATCCTTCCCTTCCTCATCTTAGCCTTTGCCTATCTCAGTGGGCTCACCTATTACGCTGAAACAAATGCCAACAGGTCCTGGGGTTTGCTAGGCCAAGTCCACAGGCAGCTCTGCTGGTGGGCAGGGCTCTGAGTTGCTGAGCATGTGTGGTGTTGCCCCGTGCCACCCTCCCTGCAGGTTTATACTCTGGGCAACCAACCAGGCACCTCCCTTGGCTTCAGAGCCCTGGGTTCTGGTCATCCTGAGATGAGCAGTGTGGCTGGAAGGCAGAGTGTCTGAGCTCGGGGAGGTGGGCACCTGTCCGTGCCTACTTCTTGCTGGCCAGGACACTGGGAGATTCAGCAGCTGACTTGCTACTTCTCAAGAGAACCACACTGAGGCCCTGTAGCTGCGGGGAGGCTGGAGGCTGGAAGCCGCTGGATGTGTACTCTGTCTTTGGCAAGAAGACACTGGCCTGGGTAGAGCAGTTGAGATCTACCTAGGCTGACATCTGGGGAAGAAAGTGTGCTTGAGGGATGGTCTCCTCACTGTCATGTTTCTGCATTTCTTCCCCAACTCTCCTCTTATCACGGAAGTCCCACTTACCCAGCTGATCCATTCAGCCACCCATCCTTCTCCTTGCAGACTGATTACAGGGCAGGATGAGGTCAGGGTAAAGGGCTCTGCCTAAGTGCAGATCTCAGGTAGGAGCCCTATGACCTTGGACAAGGGACTTAGCCTCAGTTTGTTTGTGTGTGTGAGTGTGTGTGTGTTTGTGTGTGTGTGTGCAGTCAGGTAAACCTGTCTCACCAAGTTGCATGAATGGCTCTGTGTACAGCATTTAGAGCAGTGCTGAGCCCCTGTTGCACACTCCATGAAAGCTGCTGTTAATATTCATGATGGTGGTGGTGATGGTGCTGGTACCCTTGGTTTTATGGCACTTCACAGACCAGGGAGGGAGCAGGAAGAAACATATCTGAGTTGTCAGACCCAAGAGAAAACCATATTGGAGGCCCCAGAGTTGGAGAGAGCCGGCATCCAAGCATGAAATGTTGAAAAGCAGCTGAATGTCCCCTGCAGGAGAGCTGGGGAGGAGGCAGGCTGGGCCCCTTAAGCTTTAGGGGCCTCATTAAAGATTGTGTGTCTCAGCTACTCAGGAGGCTGAAGTAGGAGGATTACTTGAGCCTAGGAGTTCAAATCCAGCCTGGACAACATAGCAAGACCCAATCTCAAAAAGAAAAAGATTGTGGGCTTCAGTCTGGATGCAGGGGCCCCTGGGAGCTTAGAGCAGGGGAGGGCAGTGATCACATTTAGGATGGTCCCTGGCAGGTGAAGAATGGGTCCTGGAGCCAGGCGTTTGCCATCGTCTAAGGGAGGATCAGTGGTGATGGGGCCTAGGGTGTGGCCATGGAGAGGGGGAGGGAAAAGGACGGAAGATGTTTATGGGGATGGATGAGGTGCCTGGATATAGGAAAGGAGGGCATGGAGGAGTCACAGAAAGAATCTAAACAGCCTTGTGATTAAAGGCAGAAAACCCAAGGGCTTTGGACCAAGTATTAGACATTGCCAGCTATTAGCCGAGTGCCCCTCGGAGTATTTCTTTAATGCTCCAGAAAAGCAGGGGAATGGTCCTCACCCCTCACCTTGTTGCCTCACAGGTTTGAGGCCCAAAGAGGTCAGGAAGCAGAGCCTCTCATGCTAGAGGAAAGACTCCCCCATTTGCTTGTTTTTTTGTGCAAGTCAAGGCCTCAGGTGCCCAGGAGCAGAGTGGGTGTGGAGAAGGTGCTTCCAGCGCCTAGGTGGGTCCTCATGCTGTAGCCACAGGCCCTTCTCCAGAGAATGGCTTAGAGCAGGTGCCAGTCGGGGGATGGGGGTGAGGCTTGGAGGGAGACAGAAAGGCCTCCTGGGCTTCCAACTCCTGGCATTCAGCATCTTCATCCATGACACCGGGCTGGGGTCTGTACACTCCCTGCAGAGGGAAATTTGGCTGTGGGTGGGAGACAGAGAGAGGGAGACCCTTTGTATTTTGGAGATCTGACCAAGGTAGAGGTTTCTCCCTCACTTTCTGCTCCTAGCACAGTATGGGTGTTCCTCTGGGGACCACCACAAGTGTCTGCAAGGCCTGCAGATTTTACCTCTGTCATTGTCCTCTGTCAGGATACATCTTTGTGGATTTCAGCAATGAAGAGGAAGTGAAGCAAGCTCTGAAATGCAACCGGGAGTACATGGGTAAGGAAGCCCTGGCCATGTGCTCTCTCTGTGTTACAGCGTTCCTTCGTTCCTTCATTTCCTTTACACGTTCTTGTACCAGCACCATCACCACCACCAAGAATGCAGTGTCTCTGCAGACACTGTTCTAGGCACTGGGGACATGGCAGGGAGCAAACAGACCCAAATCCCTGCCCTTTCGGGGCTGACAGAGAGTAAACTGACTTAGGAGGGAGAGACAGGTGGTTAAATGTGTGATCCATGCTACAGGGAAACACACAGCAGGCACGGGTCCTGGGGAGGGCAGGGATTGGAGGAGGCTTGGCTTTAAACAGGGTCCTGTCTGCTTTGGCCTCACCGAGGGGTGACATTGGGACACAAACCTACAGTTGTGTAGGCTCTGGCTCTACGGACAGGATGTTCAGTAGAGGGAACAGCACGTGCAAATTCCCTGGAGTTGGGAGGTCTTCTGAACAATACCCAGGGATGTATTCTTTGACCAATCCCTGGCCAAGACAAGTGATTTGAATCCAGCCATCAACCCCAGTGAAGACATGAGTTGTGTTAGAGAAGGATGGAGAGCCTTGGGAATCTTGTTAGCAAGTCAGGAGGTGGGTATTTATTGAGCACCTAGTAGTGCCTGTGCAGGATACAGTGATAATAGCACCCTAATCAGGCACAGGGGCTATGCGTGCAAATAAATCATCAGCAGGTAAGTACCCAGGGCTGGGCTGTCACCTAAGACCCTTCCCAAGGCAGAACAGCAAGCAGTGCCAGAGAATACAGCCCGGAGTTTAGAGAATGCATCACCGTGGTCTGGGATAACTCAGGCAGGCTCCCTCCAGGGCTGAAGCTGAACTGGCAGGGTGAGTGAGATTTGGGTTCAGGCCTGGTGTTGGCTTGGCTTATGCTGCCGCCTCAGGTGACAGGGCAGGTGTTGGGTGCTGTCATCTGCCACCTTGATTGTGTTTTTTGGAAGGCAGCAGAGAAGAGTTTGGAGTCACCAGCAAGGAGTTGCTGGCAAGTTCTAGGCCTCCCCCTGGAGCCCTGACTCCTCTTCATTGCAGGTGGGCGCTACATCGAGGTGTTCAGGGAAAAGAACGTCCCCACCACCAAGGGTGCACCAAAGAATACCACCAAATCCTGGCAAGGCCGGATACTCGGGGAGAACGAAGAGGAGGAGGACCTGGCCGAATCCGGAAGGCTCTTTGTACGGAACCTGCCCTACACCAGCACCGAGGAGGATCTGGAGAAGCTCTTCTCCAAATATGGTAGGGGTGTGGCCTCCGGGCCGTGGATAGCCCAGCGGCTATGGGAGCCGGGCTCTCACTCTGACGTCCTGGGTTCAAGTCCCAGTGTGCACACGACTCCACATCTCTTGCCTCAGTTTTCTCATCTGTAAAATGGGACCAAGTACCCCTGAGCTGCTGTGAGGATTCAGTGACATGATGAATGCAGGGATTCGCAGGGCAGGAAGTAAAAGGTATTAATAGCATCACTGGCATCCTTTGCTGTCTGAACTCTCTAACTTCTCCAAATTCAGAATTGAAGCAATTCGGATGACTTTTTTGAGATACTCCCTTGCTGTCCAAAGTCATGCCACTCGGTATTGGAATTGAGTAACTGTACAGGTTTCACCTGATGAATATACCTACACGGCGTTCCTCCGTATCTGAACTCTTAATTATGTAAAGTCTTCTTATCCAAGCTGAGCACCAAATAGATTTGATAGTGTCAAGGTTAGTGTTGTTGTTGCTGTTATTTCTCAGGCCATGGGCTTGAGGGCCTGTAGTCCAGCTTGGTCACAACAGGCTGTGTTTGTTTGTGGAGTTACCATTGTTGAAGGGCAGGAAGGGAGGGTTCAGGATGAGGGGAGGTCTTGATACCTTTGAGATCCCCGCAGTGTCTCCCCATGTCTATTCAGAGGCCAGCTGTAGGTTGTGGAGGATTGGAGATGTAGGTTGAACACCTGATGTGGGCCCCGTTGTCAGGGTAAGGATGCCCTGAGTGGAGCATGCCATCAGGAAAATTGACCTGACCTCCAAGCCTGGGGCCTGCCCCAGTGGAACTGTGTGTTCCATTCACCAGTCTGCTCACCATATCCTTCACACAGGCTGGCATCCCGGCTTACACCTCATGGGTGGGCTGAGGGGGAGAAGCATTTGTCGATATATTGCAAATGTCCATTTGGGAAGGAAAGACCCAGAGAGGGGACGCGGTCACACCCTGGCATTCAGAGTTGAAACCAATGCAGAAAGGGTGTGCTTTAATTTGAGCATGATGCTAATATCATCATGGAAGACACTTCTTTGGCACTAACTCTAGCAGGCACTGTTTAGTGCACTATGCACGCATGAACGCATTTAGCCCATGAGCTAGGTACTGTTGTGCTGTTTTACAGATGAAAAGACTGAGGCATGGGGAGGCTTAGTGATTTGCTCAAGGCAAGCTTCATGTGTAATAGGTGGTGGTGCTGGGCTCCAGCCCAGGTATTGTTGCTGTTAGGATAGACACACGTAGGGGACTGGGAAATGACACCCATGACCTGTGAGGTTGGCTCACAGCTGGTGCTCACCACATTCTTCCCTGGGGCCAAGTGGCTGCGGCCTACCAGAGACCGACACTTCTCCTGTCCTCAGGTCCCCTGTCTGAGCTCCACTACCCCATCGACAGCCTGACCAAGAAACCCAAGGGTTTTGCATTCATCACCTTCATGTTCCCTGAGCACGCTGTGAAGGCCTACTCGGAGGTGGACGGGCAGGTATTCCAGGTGAGGCCCCGTCCTGGGCTGGCCAGGAGGCTGTGGGGCTCACATGGTCGGGAAAGGCTGGTGTGTGTGTGTGTGTATGTGTGTGGACACGGGCGTCCACTTTGTGGGCCTAAGAAAATGTGCAATGGCATGCTAAGTCACTGCCTCACTCAAGCCACTGGAGAGTAAGAAGTCGTGTGAGGGCACGGTCTGATCTGTTCTGGTCACTGATCTGTGGCACCTACACCTCTGTCTGGCACTTAGCAGGCACTGAAAAAATACTCCTTGAATGGATGAATTTGCTCTCCATCTCTATAGATACCACCTTAGAAGAGGAGTAAGAAGAAAAGAATTTTGACAGGGACCTATTAAAATGGCCACAGTGGAATAAAAGAAACTTCTCTTTTCCCAGTGTTACCAAGTAATATACTTAGCATACATCCTCAAGCCCCAGGCTGCCTCATCATCACCCTTTTTCCTTTTCTCATTCATTCATTGATTTATTCATGATTTCTTGATCCCCTTGTTGCCATCAGGCCAGACCTGGCCCCACCGGCATGGACCTCACATTCTTACTCACTGGTGCAGGGACAGGATGCGATGCAGGCTTGAGAGGCGGGGAGAGGGCTGCGGGTGCGGGGTTATACACTGATCGAAGTTTTGTGTGTGTAGCTGTGTCAGGTGGCCCCCTCACGACATCAGGATCCTGTGTCAGGTGGGAAGAGAGTGGCCACGTTCTACCTGACCTCCCTCCCACCCTCTGGTCAGGGTTTCAGTGCTGGGTCCAGCTTACTCGTGGCAGAAGCCAACATCCTTCGGCAGGAAGCAGGGCTTACAGGCAAGGCTTCTGTTTACTCCCTTCCCGTCATTCCCATCCAGGGCAGGATGCTCCACGTGTTACCATCTACCATCAAGAAGGAAGCCAGCGAGGATGCCAGTGCCCTGGGATCGTCGTCCTACAAGAAGAAGAAGGAGGCCCAGGACAAAGCCAACAGTGCCAGGTCCTCAGTGCCCCTGAAACCACTGAGCTCCAACCCCAACCCTCTGCCACCCTCACCCTGCCCTTTCTAAGCCACCTGGGTCTTCTGACTCCTGATGGGTTTAGTTCATACCTTACCGAGCTTCAGTTTTCTCATCTGTAAAATGGGAGAATAATAGTAGTGCCTTACTTTTATGGTGCTGTAAGGTTTAAATGAGTGAATGTATGTGAAGTTCTTAGTCCCTGACACAGATGAAGCACTGTTAGGGATGGTTCCTGTCATCATCCGTCTTGTTGTCTTCAGGCCCTGTATACGTAGCCCATGATAGGGAAATTGGGGGCATGTAGATAGGCAGGCCTAGGAGCCCATTTCTTACAGGATTCGTGTCTGAGAACGAGTTCCCCTCATCCAGCTGCGGTCTGATCTCCCTGTTCTGCCTCTGCCTCTTAGCTCTCACAACTGGAACACACTATTCATGGGGCCGAATGCCGTGGCCGATGCCATCGCACAGAAGTACAACGCCACCAAGAGTCAAGTGTTTGACCACGTGAGTAAGGGCCGACCAGTCCTCTCTGGGATCTGGGCCAAACTGAAGGGGAGAAAGAGCAGGAGGCTCGTTGTACTGCTGTTGGCTGTGAGGCTGGGGCCGCCAGGGCTTTCCTCTTGGGCCTTCCCAGAGGCCTCTGGAATGGAAGGTGCTCTCCCAGCCCTCCCTTTGGAAACATCCCCAGCCAGGCTCCAGCCCTGGCTTCTCATGCCCTTATGTGGAGCCACCCCGGAGAATGTGATTGACAGTGGTGTTGACAGGTGACATTCCTGAGAATTAGTGTGTGGTACTCCTCACAATGGCCCTGTGAAGTAGGGTTTGTTGTATCCCATTGTCCAGATGAAGAAACCGAGATCCAGGGACACAATAACTTGTCCAAGGTCACAGACTTGCAAAGAGGTGGAGGTGGGAGGACACCAGGTCTGGCCAACTCCGGTGCCTTGGCTCTGAACCATGTCTCATGATTTCCGCAGCCCAGGCAGCCCCAGTCTCTGAAGCCAGAGGAGGGGGTCGCTGGGTTCCGTTCCTCCTTCTCTCCCAAGTCTAGCTTTATTCCTTCTGACTTCCCCATCCATCCAGCTCCTCCATATCACATAGCTTTAAAAATCAACATGATGTTTTGATAGACATATAGATAGTGAAATGCTTACCATAGGCCAGCCAATTAACATTTCCATCATCTCACACTTGCCCTTTTTGTGTGTGTGGCAAAAACAACTAAAATCCACTACAAGAGATTTTGCTAGAAGCAGAAATCTCCAATGTTAACTCTAGTCTTCATGTTGTACATTTATATTAGATCTCTAGACTTACACAGCTGACATATCTGCTCTTTTGTATTCTTTCTACTTTGGATCCTATATGTGCTTTGTACCTTCTATAAAAGGATACTTTTTAAAAGGTATATTCAAGTAGGGGTGTGTGTGTGTGTATATGTATATAAATGTGTATATATATATACATTTTTATATATACATATATATACACATTCATATACATATATACACATGTATATATAATTTTTTTTTGAGACAGAGTTGCTCTGTCACCCAGGCTGGAGTGCAGTGACATGACCATAGCTCATAGCTCACTGCAGCCTCCCAAATTCTTGGCTAAAGCAGTCCTCCCACCTCACCTCCCGAGTGGCTAGGACTACAGATGCATGCCATCATGCCTAATTTATTTTTAGTTTTGCAGAGATGGGGTCTCACTATGTGGCCCAGTCTGGTCTCAAACTTCTAGGCTCAAGTGATCATGCCACCTTGGCCTCCCAAAGTGTTGGGATTACAGGCAGGAGTCATATAAAGTATATTTTATATATATGAAGTACAAAGTATACTTTGTCTAAGGTACTTTGCAGAAAGCCTGAAAATGCCCCCTTCTTTGTATATTTTGTATCCTCATACCTTCTTTTAAAATGCATGCATCTGGGTTGGGAACGGTGGCTCACACCTATAAACCGAGCTCTTTGGAAGGCTGAGGCAGGTGGATCACTAGAGGTCAGGAGTTCGAGACCAGCCTGGCCAACATGGAGAAACCCCATCTCTACTAAAAATACAAAAATTAGCCTTGTGTGGTGGTGCATGCCTGTAATCCCAGCTATTTGGGAGGCTGAGGCAGGAGAATCGCTTGAACCCAGGAGGCAGGTTGCAATGAGCCGAGATCATGCCACTGTACTCCAGCCCAGGTGACAGAGCGAGAGTCTGCCCCAAAAAAAAAAAAAAAAAAAAAAAACATGCATCTGGAGTTAGAGGCAGCTGAGTTCTTCCCAGGCAAACCTGGGAATGTTTTTGACATGGGTGGATTTGGCTCGTAAGCTCCTTGCCCATTGCTGTCCACCAGGCACTGAAGGTCAGTGCTGTCCATTAGGGAATGTGAGCCACATGTGTAGTTGGAAATGGTCTAGTGGCCACATGTTTAAAAGGCTAAATGAAACAGACAAAATTAATATTAATAATATATTTCATGTAACTCAGTATATCCAAGACATTTTCCCTCCCTCCTGAGACAGAGTTTTCCTCTTGTTGCCCAGGCTGGAGTGCAATGCTGTGATCTCGGCTAACCAAAACCTCTGCCTCTCGGGTTCAAGCAATTCTCCAGCCTCAGCCTCCCAAGTAGCTGGGATTACAGGCACGCACCACCATGCCTGGCTAATTTTGTATTTTTAGTAGAGATGAGGTTTCTCCATGTTGGTCAGTCAGGCTGGTCTCGAACTCCTGACCTCAGGTGATCCCCCTGCCTCAGCCTCCCAAAGTGCTGGGATTATGGGCGTGAGCCACTGGGCTGTCCAAAATATTATCATTTCAACATATGCACAATGTTAAAAAAAAAAATTGCAAGCTATTGTAGTCTTTTTTTCCTCACGGAATTCTGTGTGTGTTTTCCACGGAGAGCACTTTGGATGTGTCGCGTTGCATTTCACATACTGAGGGGCTCTGAGGGGCTTGTGGCACTGTGTTGGATGGCACAATTCTAGACCCAGGCCAGCTGGGGGCCTGCAGCCGCTTCAGATCCCCCGAGTACTCTGAGTTCTCGGAATGCAGCAACCCCCAAAACAGGAGCAGTGAGGTTCCTCTGGTGCTTTCCGATGAGGGAAAAGACACTGACACATTAGCAGAGGTGCAGTGCGGCAGGCCTGGTGAGGGCAGAGAACAGAAAAGCCAAGGGAGGGATAGGGTGTCACCGCAAGGGTGGGCTGGTCAGCAACGTGACACTTAAGCAGAAACTGAATGGAGCAAGGAAATGTGGGGTAAAAGCCATGGAGGCCAAGGTCAACAACTGCAGGAGCCCTGCGGTGAGATGAGCTCAGCATGGGGTGGCAGCAAAGACCCATATGATGAGGGGAGGGAGTGCAGGAGAGGGGACCCTGGGGTCCCAGATCTACTGTGAGAGACCTGGGAAGCCAGAGCCACTGGGGGGCCAAGCACAGTGGCTCACGCCTGTAATCCTGGCACTTTGGGAAGCTGAGGCAGGTGGATTGCTTAAGCCTAGCAGTTCAAGATCAGCCTGGGCAGTATGGCAAACTCCCATCTCTACAAAAAATATAAAAATGAGCTGGAAGTGGTGGGGTGCGTCTGTGGTCCCAGCTACTCAGGGAGGCTGAAGTGTGAAGATTGCATGAGTCTGGGAGATTGAGGCTGCAGTGAGCCATGATCACACCACTGCACTCCAGCCTGGGGGACAGATATGACAGAGTGAGACCCTGTCCTTCTTAAAAAAAAAAAAAAAAAAAAGCACAGAGCCGTTGGGGGCATCTGATCAATGTAGGAAGGTGAGCGGCATCCGTGGAATCCATTTCCATCCCAGCCTCCTCTTCAGGCTGTTGGGAGATGGGAGGGCCAGCAAGTCACCTGGCCGACAGCCAACCAGAACTCTTCCTTTCCTCTTCCACAGGAGACCAAGGGCAGCGTGGCCGTGCGCGTGGCTCTGGGGGAAACCCAGCTCGTCCAGGAAGTGCGGCGTTTTCTCATAGACAACGGGGTCAGCCTGGATTCCTTCAGCCAGGTGGGTGTTCTCGGTGGCGCCAGCCAGCCAGCAGCCACTGGAGAGTCGAGAATGGCCTTTCCAGGGGAGATGCAGATGGATTTAAGGATCTGGCCTTCTAAGGACTATTACTGATTTCTAAATTGTCTCTAAAGAAAAGAAGAAATGTTACATGGGCTGAGACAAGTGGCCTATCTGACCCTGATTCTGTCTGTCCAGAGCCATGTACAAGAGGTCTGCCTACAACCCCACAGTTCCCCCACACAGATCGGCACCCCCAACATCTCACTCCCCTACCCAGTGGCTTCCCAGAGCATCTGTTATCTGTTCGGGGACTTTGACCCTTCTTGAACCTAGCAGGGAAGAGTCCAGCACCTCCATGTGCCTGTTCTCCAGCAAGTAGCAGGTCTTAGATTTATGGATGACTGCAGCTTAGAGGGCCCCTAAGACATCATGAGACCCCTTCATTTTACAATCTGGGATACCAACGCTCAGAGTGGGGAGGTGACTTACAAGGTCAAACAGTCTATATGTGAGAGGAGCCTGGACTAAAACTCAGGGCTTCTGACTCCCAAAACAGCCCTTTCAACAGCCTTCCCAGGCCTCACATTTTTACCTCAAGATGGATGAGGAGGATGGATGAATGAAGATGTATGGGGGATGGGTGGATGGATGGATGGATGGATGGATGGAGGATGAATATGGATGGTGGATGAATGGATGGCTTGATGGTTGGATGGATGGATGGATGGATGGATGGTGGATGAATACAGATGATGCATGGATGGATGGGTAGATAGATGGATAAAATAAATATACTAATAGCTAACATTTATTAAGACTTACCAAAGCACTCTTCTAAGTTTACATGTTTAATTAGCTCATTTCATTCACATGGCCACTCTGTGAAAGCAGCTCTACTGTGCTTCCACCCTACAGAAGGAACCACAGTCACAGAGGGGTGAAGTCACTTCACAGCTAGTCATGGTGGAGCTGAGTTTGAACACAGGCCTTCTGGCCCCAGAGTCTGTCTCTCTAACTGTAACACTGCGGCCTGAGTTGCACCTAAAAGGCCCACAGGTGCCCAGCCTTTCCCACCTGCAGATGGTTTTCACTCCCCTCACCTCACTCAATCCTCATAGTAACCTTGTGTGGCCTCTATAAGATGGGTGTGACTGTTAGCCCATTTTGCAGATGAGAAAAATTGAGGCCCACAGAAACAAGGTAATTGACCCAAGGTCTCAGGTTACATTAGCGGCTGAGCTAAGACTTATTCCCAGATAGGCCATATGCCTAGATTTTTCCATTATATTTTATTGGCTCTTTTATCCTCCTCCAACATTATTTTTTAATAAAATTATTGCTAACGTTTTCAGAGTGCTCATATTACATGTACTTTTACTAACCCATTTAATGAAAACTTTTCCTGGAGCGATCCTGTGAAATAAATGCTCTGTCCTTGCTGTCGCTGCGGGAGCTGAGGCACAGTTAAGTACATTTCTCAAGGCTGAATAGCTTAGTCTTTTAGTTTTGGTTCTCCCAGAAGCAGATTCTGAGACAAGGATTCAAGGGCAAACAGTTTTGGGGGCAGTGCAGAAAACTCTGGTGAGAAAGGGATGCAGGGAAGGGAAGGAGCCCAGGGTGCAGAGTGTGCTGCTGCAGTACGCTGCCCTGTGGCTGCCTGGAGCTCTGCCTAGGGGAAAGCCTGCAGCACTCATACCTCAGTCTCATCCCACCCAAGGACAAGGAGTGCAGCAACTCCTGAGAGCTGTGGGCTGCTCCCAGGGGGCGTTAGCTCTGCAGCACGTCCTGCTGGCTGCACGTGGTAGCAGGTGGGCGGTCTGTAGTTCAGGAAAAAAAGCCTTGGTACTGAGATGCAGACCCCAGCCACTGGAAGCCTTGGAAAGTGCGGCCCTGCTCAGGAGTGGAGGAGGGGCTGGGATTTGATCCAGAAGCTCCAGCTTCAGAGTCCCAGGCCTTACCCCCTCTGCAGAGCTGCCTTGCAGCCTTGCAGGGAGCATCATGCCAGAGAGGGTCGTTCCTCCTGGGTCTTCCTCCTAAGTGCCTGGTTGCTGAGGTTCCAAATGGAGAGCCTTGTCTGGAGAGCCCCACGATCCCTGCTGGTGTCAGCTGGGGACCCTCCTCCCTCCTGTGGTCCCATGTGTGTGCATTTCCTCTTTGCAGGCTGCAGCAGAGCGAAGCAAGACTGTGATTCTGGTCAAGAACCTCCCGGCAGGCACCCTGGCGGCCCAGCTGCAGGAGACCTTCGGCCATTTTGGCAGCCTGGGCCGCGTGCTGCTGCCAGAGGGCGGAATCACTGCCATCGTGGAGTTCCTGGAGCCCCTGGAGGCCCGCAAGGCCTTCAGGCATCTGGCCTATTCCAAGGTAGGGCTGCTGGAGACCCAGAATTGATCTGGAGAAGGACCAGTGAGGGCTGCTTCAAGGGAGAGGGTGCAGTGGGCTATGGATTCACAGATGTGGCACATGGGAGCTCACCCTAAACCGCCCGTCACGATCATGGCTGAATATCATCCCTGCCGCCTGAAAACCTGTCTGGATGGGAAGAATGGGAGACGGAAGTTCTTTTTTTTTTTTGAGACAGAGTCTTGCTCTGTCACCCAGGCTGGAGTGCAGTGGCGCGATCTCTGCTCACTGCAAGCTCCGCCTCCCGGGTTCACGCCATTCTCCTGCCTCAGCCTCCCAAGTAGCTGGGACTACAGGCACCCGCCACCCCGCCTGGCTAATTTTTTTATATTTTTGGTAGAGACGGGGTTTCACCGTGTTCACCAGGATGGTCTCGATCTCCTGACCTCGTGATCCGCCCGCCTCAGCCTCCCAAAGTGCTGGGATTACAGGCGTGAGCCACTGCGCCGGGCCGGGAGAAGGGAGTTCTGAACCATCCTCCAGAAAGCATGCCTTGGTTCCTTGCCTGACTCTAGCTTTTCTTTGGCTTTCTTTACCCATGTTAATTTGGATTAGCATTTTAATTTTAATTAAATGTGTTCATTATTTTTTTGAAAAAGTATTTATTTATTTTGAAAGACAGGGTCTCGCTCTGCCACCCAGGCTACAGTGCAGTGGCGCCATCTTGGTTCGCTGCAGCCTTGAACTCTGGGGCTCAAGCAATCCTCCCACCTCAGCCTCCCATGTAGCTGAGACTACAGGCATGCACCACCACGCCTGGCTAATTTTTTGATTTTTTGTAGAGACAAAGGTCTCCCTATTTTGCCCAAGAATGAGCATTCTTGATGCTTTTGTAATCCTGTAGCTACAATGAGATGAATGAAAGTCAGTTCTGTAGGTGGGGCTGTCTCCTGGTTCTTGGTTTAGAAAAAAGCCAACAGTTGTGTATTAGTTTGCTGGCTGTGGCTGTCATAACAAATTATTACAAGCTAGTTGGCTTGAAACAACAGAAATAGATCATCCCACGGTTCCGAAGGCCACAGTCTGAAATCAAGGTGTCAGCAGGGTTGTGCTTCCTCTGAAGGCTCTAGGGAGTCTGATCTGTGTCTCTTCCAGCTTCTGGTGGCTCCAGGCATCCCTGGCCCATGGCTGCATCACTCCAGTTTCTCCCTTCATCCTCACTTGGCTTTTCCTCTTCTCTCAGTCTTCCTCCCTGTTTCTCTTATAAGGACACTTGTCATTGGATTTAGGCTCTGCCGGGATAATGCAAGATGATCTCATCTCAAAATCTTTCACTTAATGAAATTTGCAAAGATCCTTTTTCCAAATAAGGGCGCGTTCACAGGTTTCTAGGGGTTCAAGATATAGACATACCCTTGCGGTGCCACTACAAGTATTTTCTGTTTATAAGACACTTTAGCACTTCGCAGACCTTGGTCTCCCTCAGCAATTCTTAGAGATAGATATTCATGTCCCCCCCAGCAATTCTTAGAGATAGGTATTCATATGCCCCCCAGCAATTCTTAGAGATAGATATTCATGTCCCCATTTTGCTGGTGAGGAAATGATTTCTCATTCTCTGCCACTTTAACCCCGTAATAGTCTTTAGCTTGGGACTCTGTGGCCACTAAGCTCTCAGGAAGTCAGTCTGCGCCTGACCCATAAGAAAAATTATCTAGGTGGGGCCCCATGACTGAGATGTGAGCATCCTTTGGAATGTGACACCATCCTTTCTTCCTTCTGCTTTGGGAGGACATGCCAGTCACCAAAAGCTCTCTCTGTGTGAGCCACAGTTGGAGAACACTGACTAGGTGAGGCCTCCTGTTTTGGGCAGTGTCTGTTTCACCGACAAGAAGACTGCTGTCTTCATTTTGCACATATGGAAACTGATGCCCAGAGAGGTGCCCTGACCCACGATCACACAGCTAAGTAGTGATGCAGCCTGCTGTCTGCACACCAATCTGTTTCACTCTGAAGCATGTGTATTTCTCTGAAAATAACTGATTTGCAAGGCTTTCATGGAGTAGGAAATTTGAAAAGATTCAAAAAGGGCATTTGTTGACAAGTCTCACTCCCACCCCTGTCCTGCAGCTCCCCAGTAACCGCCTAATGAGGCAGGTGTCATCAGTGTCTTGTTTATCACCCGCCTGCCCAGGGCCCCTCTTTTTTTTTTTTTTTTTTTTTTTAAGAGGCAGGATTTCCCTGGAGTGCAGTGGCAGAATCCTAGCTCACTGCAGCCTCAAACTCCTGAGCTCAAGGGATCCTCCCACCTCAGCTTCCTGAGTAGCTAGGACTACAGGTGTGTGCCACCATGCCCAGCTATCCTTTTAAAAAAATAACATCTGCATGCACACATATGCACACGTATACAGGTGTTGCCCGTGGATATATGCACATAGAGAGAAAGTGTGTTCTCTTAACGGGTATTTTACACTTCCTCCTGGAGAGCTGCACTTTACCAGTGATGTGGTCGCTCCTCGTCCCACTCCCATCTAAAGTATGAAACTTTAGAGTTTCATACTCTGATTGGAAAAAACACAAAGGGGGCCTGGGAGCTGCCATATGTCTGGTGGCAACAGAGACTAAAGCCTCTCTCCTGCACCCTGAGATGCAGCATGGGGGCCGAATGTTGTCCTCAGGGAGTAGACAGCAGTCAGGGCTCTGGGCTGGGCTCCTTCCGGCTCCATTCTTGGGTGAGTTGCCCATCCTCTGTGACCCTTGGGCTGTGATCTGCATGGGACTGAGTCCCTCCCCAGCAGTGTGTTGTAATGAAGACCCACAGGGCCATCACTCTTGTCTCTGCAGTTCCATCATGTCCCCCTCTATCTGGAGTGGGCTCCAGTTGGCGTCTTCTCCAGCACAGCCCCACAGAAGAAAAAGCTCCAAGACACACCTTCAGAACCCATGGAAAAGGACCCAGCAGAGCCAGAAACAGGTAAGAGCTGAGTCTGAGACCAGGATGGCTTGGGATCCTGGTGAGGGAAAGGAGGAGGGTTGGGGGCAGCGTGAAGTTTCTTATCAAGCCTCTGGTTTAAAGCTCTTTGTTCATGCTAGAGACCAGCAGGGCTCAGACTCTCAGATTTTATGGGCATGTCCTGTAAAAAACAGTGTCAAAATTATGGATGCAATATGCTTTTAGTTTGTCAATTAAAGCTTTTAGGGGAAAAAAATTACTATCTATTAACAAGGATTCAAAGCAGAGCAAGTATAAACAACCTTCCTGTTTCAGAGATGGACCAGAATGGCTCATGGAGGAGGGTGGCTGGTATGGGAGATACTTATTCTCATGTCCTTGGAGTGGCAGTGCCCTCTGATGTCCAGTGACTGCAAAGACAGGAAAGGAAGGGGAAGCCGTGGCCCCTGGGGGCCAGATAGGGCAACCCCCACCCCCTGGCTAATGCTTCCTAGCTGGGAAAAGGGGTATCATTGGGCTTTGGGACTGGACAGTACTTTCTTGTCAGGACTGCTTTGCAAATCACAAGACATTTCACATCCCTGGCCTGTGCCTCTGAGTGTCACGAGTGCCCCCAGTCCTTGTGACAACCTGGAACACCCCCACGCATTCCTAGATGCCCACAGCGGGCAGTGTATCCCCCGCATCGAGGACCTCATAGTCTAAGGACCATGACCACATCTTAGAAGCCAAGACCAACAGGACCATGGTCATTCTATCCAGATGTTACGATTTTCCTTGTCAGTAATAACCACTCACCTATACACACCCACAATACAGCAACCAGTTGTTTAACTTATTAAAATAAGGATGTTAAAAAAAATAATAATAAGTCCTCAGCTACTCTCTCCTTTGTTCTCATTTTTTTTTAAAGGACATTTCATAGTTAAAAAAAAATGGGGAGGAACACTGTCAGATTTAAGAGTTGTTTTTTTTGTTTTGTTTTGTTTTGTTTTTTTGAGACAGAGCCTTGCTCTGTTGCCCAGGCTGGAGTGCGCGATCTTGGCTCACTGCAACCTCTGCCTCCTGGGTTGAAGCAATTCTCCTGCCTCAGCCTCCCGAGTAGCTGGGACTACAGGCGCCCACCACCACGCCTGGCTAATTTTTTTGTATTTTTGGTAGAGACGGGGTTTCACCATATTGGCCAGGCTGGTCTGGAATTCCTGGCCTCAAGTGATCTGCCTGCCTCAGCCTCCCAAAGTGCTGGGATTACAGGCATAAGCCACCACGCCCAGTCTAAGATTTTAGTGGAATAGACTTTGCTGTACCTAACCTCCCCTGCCTTGTCCACATTTCTCATTTCCTTGTTTCACTGTGTATCTTCAGGACTGGCTCAGCCAGCGCAAGGCATTCAGGAAGTGCCTGTCTGGAGGCCTGTTTCAATCAGGAAACAAAATCCTTCAGTCCCTTTGCGATCTGAGGACCCAGAAGCATCCCACATCGTTGGGGTTAATGATGATTGGTGTAAACCTTGTGAAAGCCCGACTCCTGCTCGTTTATGAGTTAAGCTCTCTCCACTCAGTTTGGATCAGGGTCTCCTTCAAAACCTGTGCCTGTTCCCATCAAAACAAAATTCTCTTCATGTCATCCTGGCTTGTTCTTAACTGTCTCCCCCAAATCACAGCTGCCTTGATTTTTACTTCAGTTACCACCCTTGAACCTAAGTAATGTTTTTTTTTTTTGGCCCAAAGCGAGTTCTCCTTTGAAACGCAGAGATCAGCCAGGGCTGAGCGGCACTGAAAACAAATTGGTGGAGGCCTCTTCCCGCAGCCTTGGGTGGCAACAGGAGGCAGGCTGGGGACACGTGGTGGCTCCCAAAGTGACCGCTTCCACCAGGCTCTTCATTTCCTTGTGTCCTGGGGATTATCCCTCTCTGCTGTCTTCTTTTTTCTCTAACACTTGTCACAATTTCTATTTATTCTGTTTATTTGTTACTTGTATTTGTTTCCTATCTCAGCCAGACTTTGAGCCGTGAAGGCAGGGAATGGGGCTGTCTCCTTCACTGCCCGGTACCCAGCACCCCGGGGGGCCCAGGCATAGGGAAGCTCGGTTCACAGGTGTCAAGGGAGTGAGGGAATGCATGAGAATCTGCCTCTCTGTTCCTTCGAAAGATGAGGCCGGGTCATATTTGTCTTTGTGTCCCAAGGCTCTGGCACACAGTAGAAGCTTAGTTAGGTTTGAACGTTTGGTTTTCGTTGTTAGCCCAGCCTCAGAACACAGTGGTGACAATAACACCATCAATCAAAATAATAGAGGGGGCTCCCATTTGTCCCCACTCTCACAAATGGCCCTTTATTTTATTTCAAATGCTTATCACTTCCTGGAATTGTGTCATGAATGGTTCCTTTCCCCGGTGTTGCTCTGTCGGACTCTGCCCCTGGAATGGCCACTCCACATGCCGAGACCCCATTCACCTTGCTCACGGCAGTATCCTAGCACCCATGAACGTGCCCCAGTGGCTGATAGTGATCAGGAAGTGTGTGTGAGTGAACCCAAGAGCAAAAGCAGCAGTTATGCCATGCTAGGCATGGTTCTAAGTCCTTGGCATCCTCATCATGTGAGGCCTAGAGCCCCTGGGGAAATGGCCCTGAGATTTCCAGTAAGCAGCCATTCTGTGACTGGCCAAGCCACCTGCCTCTCTGAGGCTCAGTTTCCATATCTGTAAAACGGGCATGATATCCGCCCCGCCCTCTGAGGGCGTGGTGGGATGTCACATGCACATCACCAGTCTTCCGCTGCTGTTGGTGACTGAGCAATATAAATCACAGTGCATCTTGGGAGGCTGAGGCAGGAGGATCACTCGAGTCCAGAAGTTCAAGACAAGCCTGGACAGCATGGCAAAACCCTATTTCTACAAAAAATACAAAAATTAGCTGGGCGTAGTGGTGCATGCCTTGTAGTCCCAGCTACTCAGGAGGCTGAGGTTGGAGGATCACTTGAGCCTGGAAGATGGAGGCTGCAGTGAGCCGAGATTGCACCACTACACTCAGCCTGGGTGACAGAGCAAGACCCTATCTCAAAAATTAAATTAAAATTTAGAAAAATATGGCACAGTGGATAGTCTTTAACTCACCATGGGCACCAGCCCCAAGCCAGCAGCCGAGCTGGGTGATCAAGATGGACACCACACAGATGCACAGACCCCCTTCCCCAGGAACTTTTGAGCTGTGGAGGACAATAGAGCTGTTGGGGGACAAGTGAGATGTCACAAGTAGTAATAGAAGTGGGCCCTGAGTACAGAAATGTCTGCATCACAGCACAGGGTGCATCACGGAGATAGCATGCTGTGGTTTACGGTCAGAGTGTTTTCCCACCCCCTGCCCGCGGGTCCCCCTGCTTCCTGGGTCTACATTGTAGGTTTGAGCATGTGTCCAACAGCCCCTACCTCCCAGAGGGGCTGCTTTCCAGGGCCTGACCATGACTCACACAAAGAAGGCCTTAGAGCCCGGCCGCTGGGCCTCCTTTGGCCCGGGAAGTTGTGCGTGTCTGTGCTAATTCCAAGCCCCGCTGTGTCCCGCGTCATCGGTGAATTCCCACAGAGCTGATCTCCAGGGCCTCCTCCTGCCCTCACTGCACGCAGCACATGCACAGCCCCTCCTGGCGGGTGCTGTTCTTTTCACCTGCTCCTCCCCCACCCCCACCCTCTTTGCATTGTTCCTGAAGCTTCACCAAATCCCCGACTCCCCCGTTGTACGAGGACAACGAGGGCTGGGGGGACTCAGCCAGCCCACAAAGCCCTGGATTTTCTCAGGCTCCCAAGGAAGAAGAGTAGGAGGGGAGTGGACATACCTTTTTTTTTTTATTTTACCCCCTTCCTTTCTGCAAAGCTCTCCTGTTCTCTGTACCAGTCTCGAGGGAGGGGGACAGCGTGTTTTATCTCCCCACAACCAAGACCCTCACCTCCAGATAAAGGGCTCAGAGTGGGGGGAGGTCCTGAAAAGCTGCTTGCAACTGATAACAGTCTTTGCTGTCAGCTCCAGCGCCGAGAGCCGGGAAAGGGGAGGAGGCCGCAGTAAATTCTGTGGCCTGATTATAATAAAGCCCCATGTGGCGATGCGTGACTGGATTTGATTGTGCTAACTACAGATGGAAGCACAGTTCCCCTGCCTCTCCCAACCCCCTCCAGCCCACCTTGCTTTTAGATCCTTCCCCCAACTCCCCCGCCCCCAGGCCTAGCCCTGATTCCTTTCTCACTTCTTCCCTCTTTTTCTGGTTCCTGGTGTTTTTGTTGGCAAACATCTGTTTGAGTTTCACAATACCTTATTTTTTTCTTTCCCATCTTTCTTTTGTCTCCCAACTTGGGGCCAGCAGCAGAAGTGCTTTTTAAAATGACCTTTGGCTTCATGGCCTTGGCTCCTGGCTGTCTCCACGCCTCTCTGGACACAGCCTGGCCTGGTGACTCGGGGAGCAGTAGCTGGCTGGCAAGGGTGCCCAGCTGTGGACTCGGACGCCTGGCACTGGCTGGCCTTCCTGGGAGCCTGAAGCCAGCAGCTTACCCTGCAGGGAGAAGGAGAGGGAGGGCCGAGGGCTCCCCACACTGGGTTGTCTTATCTCTCCCAGGGTTAGGGATTTCCAACATTTTCCCCTGGATTTCTCTCTCAGCAAGGCCTGCTGGGCAGTGTGGGTAGCAAGGGTAATATTAAGAACGAAACTGTTCTCTCCCAGTGCTCGCTGCAGGCCCAGGCTCAGGTCTTGCAGCCTGCTCTGCATTCATTCTCATCATCGTCCTGCAAGTAGGCACCATGATGGCCAGCCCCTTTTTAGATGGAAAGAAGGAAGCACAGAGAGTTTGCATGACTTGAGCAAGGTCACACATGTGGAGAGAGCCGGGATATGACCTGAAGCCATCAACTCTGAGGCCTGTGCTCTTACCTAAGACCTCACAGCTCTTCTCGATCACAATAAGGGCTATTTCATGATCGCTGTGTTCTAGGCACATGCTGAGTGCCCAACAGACTCATCGCCCACAAGTAGATCTGTTCTGAGCCCAGTGCTGGAGATTCAGTGCCAACTGAGTCAGACTGGGTCCTGTCTCGAGCTCCCTGTGTAGTTGGGGAGCACAGATAGAGGAGCAAACTGCTCAATACAGTGATGATGGAATAGGACAGGGCTCTGAAAAGAAGAAAGCAGAAGAATGGAACAGCGAGTGGTTGGGCCCAGGCTGGAGACTGCTTTAACTAGAGTGGACAGGATGAGCTCCCTGTGGGGAGGCTGTGTGAGAAGGAGCCAGGCCTGGGAAAGCAGCAGACCAGCAGAACAGGCAGAGGCCAGCAGGTGCAAAGGCCCTGTGGTAGGAAGGGGGCTTGGCAGGCTCGGCCATCAGAAAAGAGACCAGTGCGTTTGGAACGGAGGTGACGGGAGAGAAGGGAAAAGGGTGAGGGATGAAGTCAGGGAAGGTGGCGAGCCAGGGAGAGGGGCAGAGGGCACAGCAGCAGGGAGTCTCTTCAGTTGTCCAGGTGAGGTGAGGGGTAACAGAGCCATGGCCTGGCATGTGGAGGAAATAGTGGATACTTGCATTTCTAAACAGCCCAGCAAAGCGCAGGTGTATGAGGACTGCTGGCAAAGATAACAACTCTTCCCCCTTCGAAGCACACCAGCCACAGCTCATGGACCTGGGAGGCCATGCTGAGGGCTGCTGGGCCCTCCAGGTTGTTGCCCTTATAAGACTTGGGAACTCCTGGAATGCCATGCTGGGGACTAGCTGGGTTCTGGGGCCTTGTGGGAGAGAGGGGGAAGGGCCATTATCTTTGCCAGTGGTCTGTATACACCTGCACTTTGCTGGGTTTTGAAACAACCTATACAATACATCCTATACAATATACTCACATTAATTTACAATTCATTTAAACTTCAAATGTAGATTTTGCATTCTTCGTCATAATTATTACATTATCGTCCTTTTAAAATTTGGTAATTGAGTTTACAGTCACTCACTGTTCTGTTTACCAATTTTCCTACAAATGAGCATGACTTTGGGGTTTTTGTTTGTGTATGTATTTTTGGTATTAGGGGAGAGGTGGTTTTAATAAGCTCTATTTTATAGGTAAGGGTGCAGAGACAGCAGTGAAGTCACTCACCCAGGGCCATGCAGCTAGGTTGTGGCAGGGCTGGGACTGGGCCTGCCCTCCTCGTCTTTTCCAGGCCCCCTTCTCCGGCAGATCTCTAAAGACCATGATGCCCTTGAACTGTTAGTTCTTCTAGGATCCAGGGTGAAGTTTCAGGTGTAGGGCGGTTGTTGCTATGAACTCAAGGTTCAGGGAAAGAACGGACGTCTCCGGGGTCAGCCAGAGCCTGCGCTGCTGGAGGAAAGGCAGACCCCTTTGAGCACATCTTTCATTTAAGCTGGGTGTTCCTCCCGAAGGGGAGGGTAAGAGGCTGACTTATGGGAGGTTGGAGATGCCAGGTGAGCCCCATGCCAGGCCAACTGCACACCCAGATAATAGGTCTTCACCTTCCTCACAGTTCCCTCTTGTTCTTCCTGGGCTGGGGCTAAGGGCAGCTGATCTGCCAGGGAAGGGATCTGCCCATTACTGGTCTCAGCTGTGTTACTAAACCCAAACATCACACCCCCTTGGGCAGGTGCCTGGGCATTTAAAGATGCCCTTTGCAGCACACCAGCCACTGCTCATAGACCAGGGAGGCAGGGTGGAGTCAACTCCAGCCATGCTGAGGGGTTCTGGGCTCCCCGGGTTATTACCCTTGTGAGACTGGGAACTCCTGGAATGCCACGCCGGGCACTGGCTGGGTTCTGGGACCTTGAGACAGAAAGAGGGAAGGGCATCTTTGCCAGTGCTCTGGGGCAGGCCAGATGCAGGGAGCAGAGCACTGAGGTTTCAATGAGCTGGTGTACTTGCTGACTACTGCCTAATTCAAAAGTCACTTGCCATTAAGTTGCCAAGATTTAAAAACCATGGGATTTCCTCTGTAAAGCTGGATTTCCTACTTCTCTTAATAGATCTGAATTCTGGCCATGCTAGGTTGACCTTTCCGTCAATTGGCCAGTGCCAAGAAGGGGCTGTCCTTTAAACTGGCCATGAGCCCTCCTGGTCACCATCATCCCCACTATGCTTTTCTCTATAAAATTTTTTTCCAGTCTTCCATGAACCTGTCTCACCAACCAGAAGGTGCCTGAGATTTCGGGTACAGATGCAGCAGCCTACAGAACTCTCCTTGGGCCCCCTGTTTTCTGTGATGTGGCTGCTGTGGTCATGAGTGAGACTGTACTCAGGGTATTCAACCACATGCCTGGTCATGGCAGGGGATCTCATCAGTGTTCTTTCCTTTCTCCTTTAATCTCCAAGATGTCAAATGCCAAGGAGGGCCAGCTGGGTGGAAATATCATTCACTGCTGAAGGTCATGGTTTTCATCTCCATTGAAGTTCTGGTCCAGGACCTGAAGTCTTAGCTGCCTTGCATAGCTTTCGTTCTCACCATTAGTGGTACTTTTTCCTCCAGCTTTGTTTGAAAGTTGGGTTTTAAGTACAAAGGGCCACACCATGGAGTCTCTCTTGTTGGGTAAATTGTGTTAGTTTCTTGGTTGGGGGAGGAGCCTTTGTGTAGATTTCTTCTTTTTGTGCTGGTATCTGAGTCTCGATTCTGGGCTTATCCGAGGGAGGAAGGCAGTGTGTTCAACTGATGTTAAAGAGACAGCATTATCACGGTAGCTGTTTCTGTAAGGGCTTAAAAGGGTTGTTTTATGACAAAGTGGTCGAAGCTTAATTAGGACTTGAAAGCATTAGGCTTGCATCAGAAAGGGCAGGACAGACAGAGGCATCTTTTGTGCTTGGCGGTGAGAGTATGTGGGATGCAGCTGAACCCCAAGAAGCCCCCTTACATCACAAAGAAGTTTGAACTATGCAAGTGAAGGTGTGAGTAGAAGAAGCAGGCTGTCTCCATCAGCTCCAGCGTACCCGCCCGTGGGACCTCCAGGTGCTTCTGCCAGGCTGGGGTGCAGGGTTTAACTCTTAGGGGAGGTCACTGGTCATCTGCTTAGAAACATTGAGGGTGAGGGGTGTGAAGGCACAGCCTGAGAACTGCTTTGAAGAGTTGCTAAGACAGTTTGATTTCCTGGGGGATATGGGAATAGCTTCAGAAGCCTTGTCTTTGGAGGAGGAATTTGTCTCCAGGTCCTAATCATGTGACTTAGGGAAATTGGGGAGCTTGAAACGAATTGAACACATTTCCTCCTAAGATTTCTGAAAAGATCATGACACTGCCCTCTTCCAACTTCCTGAGGCTTCTGGCAGCTGAGAATGAAATCTACATGCTTAGCGCCACTGCAGGCTAGCAGGTCTAGTCTCCCTGTTCCCAACTCCCTGAGCTGCAGACACACACACACACACACACACACACACACACACACATCCCTTGCTAACTCACAACTTCACATCTGCTCTTCCTCTCCCTAAAATGCTGTTCCTTCAGAGTGGAAGCGGTACAAAGTGCTAGCAGTGACAGGTTGAAATGACGACCATCCCTAGTGCCATCCTCCAGAAATAAACCAGGAGCACTTTGTGCATCTCCTTCCTGTGATCACTGTGTGTGTGTGTGTGTGTGTGTGTGTGTGTGTGTATGCACATGTATGTTTTCTCATAAATGTGCAGATCATGGTTTTGTTGTTGTTGTTGTTGTTGTTTGTTTTGTTTTATTTTTGAGATGGAGTCTCACTCTGTCACCCAGGCTGGAGTGCAGTGGCATGATCTCAGCTCACTGCAACCTCTGCCTCCCAGGTTCGAGCAATTCTTGTGCCTCAGCCTCCCAAGTAGCTGGGATCATAGGTGCCCACCACCATGCCCGGCTAATTTTTGTGTTTTTAGTGGAGACAAGGTTTCACCACATTGGCCAGGCTAGTCTTGAACTCCTGACCTCAAGTAATCCACCTGCCTCCGCCTCCCAGAGTGCTGGGATTACAGGCATGAGCCACCGCACCTAGCTTAGATCATGGTTTGGATTACATTGAACATTTTCTAAAATTACAGTTATATACTTTTTTAATATCTTAATTTTTCTCTAACTTTTATATGATGAGCTTTGTTGTGTGTCATTAAACGTTCTTCGGAAACGACATTTTTAATGACTACATATTTTTCCAGCTTTTGGTGGTACTCTACCTTACCTAGTCTCTTGTTTGTGAACATAGAGTATTTTCCGTTTTTCCCTGTGATGCATAACTCTGAATTTAATATGTATAGACAAAACCACACCTTTTGTGTATATGCTTCCTGAAGTAATGCATATGAGGGATTTCGATGGTATGTAACATTCTTTAGGTTCAAGGGGGTATTTAGACTCTTCCTAAGTTTTGTTCCCATTCTGTAATTTTTTAAAAGTTTTAAGTTGCATTTTAGTTTGAAAGTTCACTAAGTGCTGGTTTTTTTTTTTTTGTTTTTTTTTTTTTGTTTTTTGAGGAAAAATAACGTTTTGCTTAGGCTCACGGTTCAGTAAAACAGTTCACATGGTAATTTATTTCCAAGTTCAAATTAGTGTGAGCTGGTCCTGTTTAAGGCTCCATTTGAGGGCTGTGTTTTGTATTCCTTTCTCTTTACAACACAGCAGGGGCAGGACTTTCTCTCTGTCTCAAGAGTTGCTGAAGCTCAGCACAAGTTGGGGATCACGGTGCCCCTTCCTGCCACTGCCCGCAGAGGCAGAACCCCTTTACCTAGTGGGCTTTTTGCAGTTGGCCCCAGGGCTCTGGTGGGTTTGACATTATTTCATGGATTTGATGTTTTTGTTTTTGTTTTTGTTTTGATGGGGGTTCAGTGCCTGATGGCGAAACCCCAGAAGATGAAAATCCAACAGAGGAAGGAGCAGACAACTCTTCAGCAAAGATGGAAGAGGAGGAGGAGGAAGAGGAAGAAGAAGAAGAGAGCCTCCCAGGATGTACTCTGTTTATTAAGAATCTCAATTTTGACACAACAGAAGAGAAGCTGAAGGAAGTGAGTGGTTTCTCAGCCCAGGAGGGAGGGGCGTGGGATGGGAAACCCCAGTCTACTGATACGGCCACTGCATTTATTCTGCCCTGAAACATGATGCGTGTTAATATGCACTTGGGAGCAATAACCAGCACCACCTACTTGACCCTTTCCCCTGGGGTGTCCAGTAGATGACTCAACGGAAGACTAGAGCAGTAGCAAGGCTGGCCGGGGGCCCTGATAGGGGCTACCACATACGCTTTGGAGGCATACCGGAATCTTTCGGGAGACCGTGTAATATGAAGGCAGTAGTTGTTTCTATGATGTAAATACCCAAAAGTAAATGTCAGCACAATCCTCTCGCCCGCTGGGAATAATGGAGAAGCCACATCAGTGAGTGAGGGTCTGGGCTTGACCCTGGAATCCCTGGATGGGGTGAGATTTTTGCATTTATGGGAAAAGGGAAGGGGATGAAAGGACAGGGAGCTCCACATAGAAGGTTAGTAAAAGCCAAATGAGGGCTGCCCTGAGTGAGGGCCGGGGGCTTCTAGAAGGAAGTGGACCAGCGATCAGGAAACAACGGGGCCTCCAGTTCCAAAGGAGTGGGGTCTGCAAGGTCCCCAATTTGTGGCACCTCCCTCAGGAGACTGTTTATTTCTAGAGTCTGGGCTTGGCACAGAATAAACACTCAGTGGGTTTTTCAGTTTTTTGTTCTGTTTTAATGAATAACAGCAGGCTGATCGCCATCAACTTGTTCTGGTAAGGAAGCTGGCCATAAGAATTGACCTGATTGATTTCTAAAAATCCCTCTGAACCCTAAAATTCGATCATGGGGTCAAGAGAGAAGACAGTGTCCACTGAACCTCAGGGGTAGGAATATGGTGGGCAGAAGATATGGAGGCAAACATTGGGATGTGGTAGAGAGGCAGAGGGTCAGAGCCCCTCTGACACCCTCTGGCTCAGCCTCTGTGATGTGACTGTCCCCTTACCTAGTAGAAGAGCAGCCCCAACAGCAGAGATACCCTGACTAAAGCAGCAGCGTTTAAGGAGCCAAGATTCACCTTCTTCAGCAATTGGAAACCCACCCTTAGACTTGTCTTTGGCTATTTCCTGGTTCCATTTTTGTTTTGCTTTGCTTTTAAATGGCGGCATGTACTTGTAGCATCCAAAAGGTAGATAGATTTGAATATGTCAGATAGATTTGAATGTTAGTTTTATTTTTTTTCTGGTGCGGGTCTGGTATGGGAACATCATTATCCGGGATCATTGTTTCCTGGGAGATGCACTCAAACAGCAGCCCAAGAGCATCCTCTGAATTCAAGGATTCTGGAGCTGGAAGTCATAGCCAAGACGACCTAGTTCAGTCTCTTCATGCAACATGGCTGGAGACTGAGCTTCAGAGAGGCCAGTTCACTGTCCTTAGGTCACACAGTCCACTTGAGGCCCTGCGGGGAAGAGCCCGTAGTTCCCAGGGCTCCTGTCTCAGCACCTTGAGTGGAGAGCCATGCGTAGCGATCAGTCTACCTGGGCTTGGATCCCAGCTTTGCCCCTTGCTAATGATGTGACCCTGAGTGAGTCCTTCAGCCTTTCTGTGCCTCAGTTTCTTCATCTGTAACATGGGGATGTTAATAGACTCTTCTCATGGAGTTGTTTTGATGATTTGGATGAAGGAGATACTCCAAATAAAGCATCTGACACTTTAAACACAAGAGTCAGTAAGCAGCTGCTGCTCGTAGTGTTTGTTTCTCAAGTTTCTCCCCGGCCCCTGGGCTTCCCCATTGCTCATTTAGTGAATGTTTATTGGGTATCTGCCTTTCCCTGGGCTCTGTGTGTAGTGCTGAAGACGTAGCCGGGAACCAGGTAAACATGGATTTTGCTCTGGGTGGGTTTCAAATTCTAGCAAAGGAGACAGAAAAAGTAAAGGGGAAAATAGAATAGACTATGACTTAAAATTTCTGTAAAAATTATTCTGGCATTTGGTGCAGGGGGCAGTGAGAGAGGTCCAGACTGGGGCAGTAGACCCCATGCTTCGGAACTTAGGCCCAGCTTCCCGATTGCATGATCTGCAGTCAGTCTCTCGCTGTTCTGTGTCCTACTTCCTTCTTCTAAAACTGGAATGAGAAACAAGCCCAGCTGCTCTTATGGGGAACTCTAAGGGACTGCCCAGGTTACTTAAAGGAGGTCATCACTCATCACCTCAAAATGTTTTTGGGACCCCAAGGTGTCCATATGGCAAATTTGGGGGTATAGTGTTTGACAGGTGCCCTTGCCTGCATAGTGGTTTAGAGCTGCTGATGATACTTGTTACTTTCTTATCCAGGTGTTTTCAAAAGTGGGGACAGTGAAGAGCTGCTCCATCTCCAAGAAGAAGAACAAAGCAGGTATTCCGCATGAAATTCGGAAAGTGTTCAGTATTCAGCCGGAAAGAGTGGATTCCAAAAGAAGCTCCAGCTTCAGACAAGGGGTTGGGGTAGTTCTCCCTTGCACATTTTGAAGGTTCTCTTTTTTCTGAAGCATGGTCAGCCTCAGACTCTTTGAAATAGCCCCTCTTTCTGTTCCCCTGGAGTCTCCTTTCCAGTCGAAGCAGCCTCTTGGGTCAGATCCTTCTGAACCTAGAGCCTCCACCACCTCAAACTGTCAGGGGTGGTTTCAGAGCAGTAACATTTGTGGGCAGATAGTGAGGACCCTGGATGGTATCAGGAACCTCTGCCTCCTCCCAGCACTTTTGTGCTCTGGAAGTTTCCTAGGAAATAGCAAGAAACAACCAGTCTTGCACTCTCCCTCTTCCCTTCTGAGGGAGATAACCCAGTTGTAGAACTTCTGGAACGTTCTACCGAGTCATTAACCACACAGATTTTCCTGAGTCAATAACCATGCACCTCCCAGGCCAGTGGGTACATGGACAGGCAGAGAGCACCCTCATCTCTCCATTCGGCCCTGGGTGCTATTCTGAGTCTCCTGGCCTCTGCTGGGCTCCAGCCCTGGCTTCCTGCAGGGGATACGTCCTTGCTTTCGCACAGCCATGCCAGCCCTATCCTGAGTCCCTTTGGTTTGGCAGGATTTGTAGGAATGCTACATGTGTCAGCCCAAACTGTGTCCTGAGCACCTACTGCATGCAAAGTACTGGGTGGCCAGAATGTCTGCTGTTGAGTTACTCCTCAGACAGTCCCCAGGCCCCACCAGGCAGCAGGCACGGTGTTAGTTATATAAGACTGAGGGAGACGCAGCCCTGCCCGCAGCATGCACACAGTCTAGCTAGAGAGACCAATGTGCTGGTGGTTACAGCAGAGTGCAGCAAGGGGTTGGATGGCAGGGACAGGCGTCCAGCACAGGGGACACCACATCAGCCCGAGGCTGGGAGGGGTGGGGGGCAGAGCAGCCAGGCGGCGGGAACAAGGTGTTCAGAGGCCACTCACACTGCAGTGGCCAAGCCTGGGGAATTCGTTGAGGAAGAGTCAGGAGATACGCCTACACCTAGAAAGGTAGGCAAGTTCCAAACCATGAAGTGGCTTTTATGCCACACACACAGAAGAGTTTTGACTTTTCCCCAGAAGTACTGGGGAGCCATGGAGGGTTCTAAGCAGACATACAGCACAGAAGTCAGAACATCCCTTGTATTCGTTTGCCGGGCTGCCATAAGAAAGTGCCACAGACTGGGTGGCTTAAATGACAGAAATGTGTTGTCTCACAGCCTTGGAGTCTAGAAGTCTAAGATCAAGGTGCCAGTTGATTTGGTTCTTTCTGGGGGCTGCGAGGGAAGGTCTGTTCTAGGCCTGTCTCTGGGCTTATAGATGGCCTCCTCCATGTTCACAGGGCATCCTCCTTCTATATGCCCATCCCATGTTCAAATCCACCCACACTTTTTTTAAAAGAACAGCAGTCATCCAATCATATTGGATTTAGGGCCCACCCTAATGACTGCATTTAATTTATTTTTATTTTTCGAGACAGAGTCTCACTCTGTCACCCAGGCTGGAGTGCAATGGTGTGATCTCAGCTCACTGCAACCTCTGTCTCCTGGGTTCAAACGATTCTTGTGCCTCAGCCTCCCCAGTAGCTGGGATTACAGGCATGTGTCACCACACCCGGCTAATTTTTGTATTCTTGGTAGAGATGGGGTTTCACCATGTTGGTCAGGCTGGTCTCGAACTCCTGACCTCAAGTGATCTGCCTGCCTTGGCCTCCCAAAGTGCTGGTATTACAAGCGTGAGCTTCCGCGCCTGGCCTGTGACCTCATTTTAACTTGGTTACCTCTGTAAAGAGCTTGTCTCAGATAAGGTCACATCTGAGATACTGGGGGTCAGGATTCTACATGTGAGTCTGGGAAGACACTGTTCACCCCTTAACATCCCTGTTCTCCAGGGTCTTCAGATATAGTTTTGGGTGCAAGGAAAGGCAGCTAAGTACCAAGTTAATTATGAGAAGGACCAGTTTTGAGGATTTCAGGAAAAAAAAAAAAAAAAGTTATTGCTGAAGTCCAGGATGGGGGTCAGATTGACAGAGGTGCACCCAGGCCAGCAGGTGGAGGTGGCTGTCCCTGCCTCTCACTGCGCCCAGTCAGATGCTCTGTGGGGCCAGCCTTGTACTCCTGGGGAGCACTCTTCAGCATGTTTTAGAAGTGGTTATCTGATCTTTCCATGTCATAAGCAGCTCTTAAAACATACACTGTCTTTTTCAAGGGCCTGTATTTGAGACCCCTGTTCTCTGGGGCCCATCCGTCACAGTTTGGTGAAAATCTAAACAAAGTATATCAGTCAGGGTTGCAGCAGGAAACAGAAAGCACTCTCAGCTGGGGTTGGAGCAGAGATGTCTGTAAGGAAGGGGCCGACGTGTGGCTGGGCTAAGGGAGCCCACAGGGATGTCCAGGAAGTGGGCTCTACAGGAAGAATGCCTTTCCGCCTGCCGTGCCTGGAGGGGCATTAAAGGAAAACGTGTGACCAGAGCTCAGCTGAGAGTTGGAGCCACGAGATAACCTGCAGGAGTGGTGGCCGTGGATTGGACGTGGCCACTGCAGAGCCACCCAAAGCAAGGAGGCGGGTGGGGACATGTGGAAGGATCCAGTACTCCAGCCTCTCTCTCCTCCATCCCCCCACCCCGCAATGCCAGATCAGAGCCTCTTGCTGGCTGATCCCAACAGGAAGCAAGGAATCTGGGGAGCCCAGGTAGAGCTGTCTATAGAGGTCAGTTTCCCATAGAGGATGGTGGCGGAGAGTGGATCTGCATAGTGTCAGTAACTCAGAGTTGAACTTGACCTTCTCACAGTTGCCTTTCACACAGTCACTGCACTTTTAAAATCTCACAGGTGCACAGACATGCCAGCCCACCACCTGCAGCCTCGAGCCTCCAAAAGAGAGCTTTGGAGCAGTATCTGCTTGCAGAACGAACATTTAAAGTCGCCATGGGGTGGCACTGGCTGTCAGTTCTGTCTGAGCCATGTATGGGCAATTAATGGAATTCCTTAATGCAGTTGGCTCTTATTTTGTAACACCTGCTGTCAATGGAAAGGCAGGAGCATAGGTCTCACAAACAGCACAGTAAAGGTAAAGATAGGACCTGCAAAGTGAGCCAAAGGTAGAGAGCCTTGAGCCTCATTTGAACCCATCAGACTGAAGGGAATCTTCTTTGAATTCACAATAAAGAAGAAACCTAACAAATATGTATGAGATGCTGGGGTGTGGGTGGAAGGTGGGGGGACATCAAATCTAATGTCAAGAGGGCAAGATGTAATTAGGGATCTTAATGTTTTTTAGTGCCCTATAAAAACACTCCTCCCTCCCCAGTTACACATAGTGAGGAAGCGGAAGTTTCTGATGAAATTTTTGCAGTATTCTTTGCTATCTGAACTCTTGCTACTTGCAACCTAGAAGTAAGGAACCAGAGAAGTTTGAATAATGCAGTCGCCCACATGATCCAAACTTTATATCTGAAACCCAGGAAACTGAATGTGATTGGCTGGTGAGAAATATTTGTGAAGAGCAAGCCTTTGGTGCGTTTGACTCTCACGCACATATTCATTTTAGGCATTACGTGTGGAGGCAGAGGACTGCCCAGGTAGAGGTTTTGCCACTTGCCTTCATGATGGTCATCTCTCTTAGGTCAGTCTCCCTCCCAAAGCAGAATCCTATTATGAAGTTAATTATCATGTCAGTCATCTGTTAATTAATAGTCAAATGGGCCTCAGGTGGCAGCCATGTTAACTGCGTTGGCTGATTCGTCAAGATGACTAATGATAAACAGCAAGCCAGGTGCTGAGATTTTTGGGGGGAATGAAGGGGGTATGAAAAGAAGAGGAAATACAGCGCAGGTCTGGGGGCCCGTCACAGCCCTTGCACTTGGCCTTGTGCTTCCGCTTCACCGACTGGTGTGATTTCCACCTCTCTCTCTCAGGAGTGCTCCTTTCCATGGGGTTTGGATTTGTGGAATACAGGAAGCCGGAGCAAGCCCAGAAAGCTCTCAAGCAGCTCCAGGTAAAGTGAAGATTCTCAGCTGAGGGCCACGGAGGCACTTGGCAGGTAGTGGGAGGTCCCGTCAGCCCTCTGAAATTGAGTGAGAATATGTATGAAGTCTACACTTGACCGGGCCCATTGCTTTTCCCAGATCTCTACGGGACTGTGGCCCAAGAAAAAATTAAGAACCTTTCCCAACACTCCACGGTCACCATAGTTCATTCATTTGATCCACAGCACTATTATCAAGGGCCTGACGTGAGCCAGGGGTGGTGGTAGGCCTGGGAGAGGTTGCTCACGTGGGCCCCTCTTTCTGGTGGGGTAGACAGGCCATGGACCTCTGAATAAACATGCAGGACCAGGTCATGAAGACAAAGCTGCGAGTTGGGGGTGGAGGTGGGGCACTTAGGCTGTGTGGTCAGGGAAGGCCTCTCTAAGGAGGTGACAGTTGAGGCCACACCTGCTTGGCCAGAAGTCAGCTGCACAGAGATCTGGGAGGGAGGTAGTTGGGGAGGAGGGACCATGTGCAGAGGGTCTGAGGCAGGGGCCATAAGGTGGGAATGAGCTTAGTACGTTTGAAAAGCTAAGAGGCCACTGTGGCAGGGGCGGCGTGGGGTGGCGGTTCAGGGTGCAGGATGAGGAGAGAGGTGTGCAGGGCAGGATCTTCTAGGCCATTTTACTGCTCAGCCTAAAGGCAGTGGGAGACCATTAGGGGGCTGTGAGCACACTGGCTTCTACTCCAGCCTCTGCAGCTGCTGGTGTGGAGAGGGGACGATGGCTGGGGGCAGGGGGCAGGTAGGAGACCCTTGAGTCATCCAGGCTTGGCCAGTTGGGGAGAAGGTGGGGAGAACAGGGCTGAACCGAAAGCTGTTTGGACAGAGACTCAACATCCTATTCAGACAGAGAAGGGAGATATGCCTTCCTGCTGGATCCTAAGTACAAGGACAGATTGATACTCTCTAGCAGGAGGGGAGTTAGGGCTGTGGAGAGCAAAACAGCCTGGGATTGGCACCATCCCAAAGGGCAAATTTTGCACCAGCTATAAGTTCTTCTTTTTTCTTGAGACGGAGTCTCACTCTGTCGCCCAGGCTGGAGTGCAGTGGCGCGATCTCGGCTCACTGCAAGCTCCGCCTCCCAGGTTCACGCCATTCTCCTGCCTCAGCTTCCAGAGTAGCTGGGACTACAGGCGCCCGCCACCAAGCCCGGCTAATTTTTCGTATTTTTAGTAGAGACGGGGTTTCACCGTGTTAGCCAGGATGGTCTCGATCTCCTGACCCCGTGATCCGCCCGCCTTAGCCTCCCAAAGTGCTGGGATTACAGGCGTGAGCCACCATGCTCAGCCTAAGTTCTAATCCAGAAGCTCTGTGGCTTTGCATTAGATGATGCATCCTGATGCATGGTGCCTAGGATGGCCTTCAGCTAAAGTGAAGCAGATGCAGTAGGTGTTAGTAGCTTGAGAAGGTATCCTCTGTTCCCTTCATAATGCCCCACATCCTAGGCCCTTCCTGGTCAGGGGCTGTGTACTCATTTAACTTAAAATTGGCTCTGCAGGTTCAGTGGTCCGTGTTTCTCTTTCACGCGATATAAGATTCTATGAAATTTCACTTTGCACGTGTACTGTATTATGTTCTGGACATCATTGTGTGCATGCATATGTGAATATTGCCTCCAAGAATTGTTCCTACGAAGCTCTGTGTGCTGTATTTTATGGGAGATTTAAGGGATTTTCAAGGGTAATTTTGCTAATACACCAGTTCTGCCTTGAGGGACCAATGTTAGAACCTAGCTTTAGATGCAACTCCACTAGGATTTAGAATATTTTTCAGGAACATACAAACTAAACCCAACTCTCTCTGCAAGCCAGACCTAAGGGCCTTACTTTGCCTGAACATGCTTATAAACAATGGAAAATTCCGTGTCCCTTGAATGACATCTAGGTCAAGGCCTACCTGTGGCTTAAGAGAGCGTCCAAGGGCTGAGTCTCTGACCACCAGCTGCTGCCTGGGCACGGTGTGAGCCATTTCAGGGAAAAACCATCCTCTGTCCTCTAGACCAGCTAGCCCCACTCCCCGGGGAACAATCAGGCTCCCATCTGCGAGCCAGGGCTCTGCTCTGGTGAAGGGCAAGGATTCGGGTGAGTATTTCTCGGGACAGAGAGATGAGCCATGTTGTCTTCTCTCTTAGGGTCACGTCGTGGACGGCCACAAGCTGGAAGTGAGGATCTCGGAACGAGCCACTAAGTGAGTCTTCAGTGTCCTCATTTCCTTTCCTACGAGCTGGGGCTTCCTGTGCTTGGTGCCGGCCACCCTGGAGGCTGTCTCACAACCCTTCAATGTCCTTTCCACCTATCCCTTTACCATTTAGGACTCTTCCTAATTAAGATGCCTAATTATGTTGGCATTTACCAAGTCCGACCCTGATTTTCCCAGTGAACTACAACAGTGTTAGTCCTTTGGGTGAATGTTTAATGCACAGGGGCTTTTTTTTTTCTTTTTTTTTTTAATAAGAAAAGGAACAAGTGCAGGAGAAACAGGCAAACAACACTCATCTTGGGATAAATAAACCAAGGAAGAGCTGGAGGTTGCTGGTGCTGTGGATGAACCAGAAGAAGCTGTAAAACCTAGACATTCAGCTTTATGGGACGTGCTTTCTTAGAGCTGAATGGCAGTGCCTACGATGGCCTCCAGTTAATGGGAAAGAGATTCCGTAGGTGTTAGAGATGGAGGCAGACCAATTTGCCCAATGACCAGTATACTGAAGTAGGGGGATTGTTTGGAGATTTATCTTTGCACCTCCATTTCTACCTGCTTGTATATCTAAATGAACTATTACACCCGACGTGCCTCCAACAGTGTCCGGCACATAACAGGTGCCCAGCGTAAGCCATTATTGTCATTATCATCTACTTGCATCGGGTGATAAAATGAATGCCTCTAACAGCCCTAGAGCTGGTTTCAGATATTTATTTGGTAGTTTTCAACAAGTTGGTAATTTGTTGTGGTCATCCGGCAAATTAGCTTCCAGCGAATTGACCTTTCTTTTTCCTTCTTTCTTTGTTGTTAATGCTTCCTGTGAGTCCAGCTTGGGCCAGCTCTGGTGTTTTTCACCCATTGTGGTCTGTGCTATGTTAAGCATCCTTGGAGGGAAGATGGCTTGGTACAGAGGCCCTCAGAAGTCTAGTGGGGGTTCCTGAGCTGCCAGTATAACAGAAGGAGCTCAGGCTTTGAGCCCCACACCTGTAGTTTCTAATTCAGGAGCTCTGTGACCTTGCATGGGTGACTTTGCCTCTGAAGTGAAACGTGCTAAGTAGAGGTTGTGTGTTAAGCATCCAGCACTTGCAGTGCCCATGAGCACTGAGCCAGCAGTTTCTTTCCAGTACCCTATCTCCAGAGAGCCAGCCTGAATTCAGCCTTGCAAGGTCTCACTTCCTAGCCAGTGTTCATGGAACCATTGTTTTACTCAAGAAAAAATTACAGCAAGCCCACTGTGTACCACATCCTCCTTCTAGGCATGGGGGATAGTGTTTCCTTGGGAGTTTACACCCTAGGGCAGTGCTGTTCCATAGAAGCTTCTGCAGCAATGGAAATGTTCCACATCTCTTCTGTCCAATATGGTAGTCAATTGCCACACATGGCTATTTAGCTCTTGAGATATGGCAAGTGCAACTGTTTTAGCTATCTATTGCTGCATCACAAAGTATCCCAGAACTTAAAGGCTGAAAAGAAAACATTATCTCATAGTTTCATGGGTCAGGAATTCAGGAGCAGCTTAGCTGGGAATTCTGGCTCAGGGTCTCTCATGAGGTTACAGTCAGGATGTCGGCTAGGGCAGCAGTCATCTGAAGGCTCAGCTGGGGCTGGTAGATCTGTCATTAAGATGATACACTCACATGGCTGCTGGCAGGGGTCCTCAGTTCCTCACCTTGGGGATCTCTTTCTGGGACCGCTTGAGTGTCCCCATGGCATGGCAGCGGGTCTCTCCAGAGTGAGTGATCCAAGAATGGGGAAGAAGGAGGCCACAATGTCTTCTACAACCTAGTCTTAGAATTCACACACCATCCCTCTGCTGTATGCTGCTTGTCACCCAGACCTGCCCTGATACAGCATGGGAAGGGATTACCCAGGGCATGAACACCAAGAGCCAGGAATCACTGGGCACCATCTTGGAGCCTGATACCCCAGCAACCGAGGAAGTGAATTTGTAGTTTTGCTGCTTCTATTTTTTTGAGACGGAGTCTCACCCTGTCACCCAGGCTGGACTGCAGTGGTGTGATCTTAGCTCACTGCAACCTCCGCCTCCTGGGTTCAAGCAATTCTCGTGCCTCAGCCTCCCAAGTAACTGGGATTACAGGCGCCTGCCACCACACCTGGCTAATTTTTGTATTTTCAGTAGAGACAGGGTTTCACTATGTTGGCCAGGCTGGTCTTGAACTCCTGACCTCAGGTGATCCACCTAAGCCTCCCAAAGTGTTGGGATTACAGGTGTGAGCCACCATGCCCAGCCTAGTTTTGCTTCATTTTAATTTAGATTCAACTAGCCACATGTGGCTGGTGGCTGCCATATGAGACAGCATAGCCCCAGAATGACAAGACAAAAAAAAGAAAAGAAACATGATTAAATGTATAATGTACTAGCACAGGGATCAGTGCCAGGAAGAGAAATGAAGCTGGGGGCTGTGGGTGAGGGGGCTGCCATTTTAATGGAGACAGGGAAGGCCTGTGAGGAGGTGACGTGGAGCAGGCCTGAAGGAGGTAAGTCCTAACATGGTCATTATCATAACAGCTGCTGTTTATTGAATGTTTACCACATTCTGGGTCCAGTGCTGAGTCTGCTTATTAAATCTTCAAACAATCAAATTAGGTGGGCCTATCATTACACCCATTCTACAGTGGAAGAAATGGAGGCCCAGAGCGGCCATGTTACTTGCCCAAGATCGCAGAGATCCTAAGTGTCGGATTTGGCATTCACACCCAGCTTGTTAACTCCCAGCCTTGCTCACTTCCCTACCCTGTTTTGGTGGAGTGGGAGGTTTCCCTGGGAGAGCAGGGAGACAGGCCAGGTAGCACTGCATTGGGGATGGCCTTGAACCTGGGCTGAGAGTGTCCTTGCTCGCCACCTGGTCCATCTGCATGGTTAGGCCCCCGCATGTTCCTCCTCGGGTTATTGATGAAGTGTCACAAGACCTTTGGAAACCAACTGGGGTCTTTCTTTGCAACTGGAGAGAAAGACACAATGGAGATTGGGTTTGGTGAGAAACCAGCCCCACCCTTAGCGGGGCTCCTTAAGTCCCTGGTGGCCCCGGAGTCTCTCAAATGAAGGTCAGCAGCCACCCAAGCACGGATGTGTCCCCCTGACGTCTGCAGCTGTTTTGGGTCCTATCACCTGGTGGGAGACGGCCTTCCTCTCCTTTCACGTTGGTCCCGCACCCCACGCACACTCCTTGAATCCATCACCTGAATATTCTGATGGAGGCGTAGTGGAGTCAATGTTGGGCAGGAGCTGCTGAAGCTCCGAATAACTTGGACCCTCTCCCCCCACCACTCCAGGCCAGCCGTGACATTGGCTCGGAAGAAACAAGTTCCCAGAAAGCAGACCACCTCCAAGATCCTGGTGCGGAACATCCCCTTCCAGGCCCACAGCCGGGAGATCCGAGAGCTCTTCAGGTGAGAACTTCAGGTTTAGTCCAGGGGACTGGCGTGTGGGCGGGGAGCCTGCCCGAGTCTCAGGGAAGATGGCCTTTGGGTCCTGGATGGTTCCGTTGCAGGCCGGCACAGTGGTCTTTCAAAGGTCATCTTTTGGCTGCTTTTGATTTATCTCCCTTAATCTCAGATGTGGCTCCCCAGAGCACTGTGCAGGAAAAAAGTCAAAACAGCCAGGCTTCCCCCTCTCCGAGGCAGATGGAGAAAGGGCAGGCAGGCTTCCCTGTCCCCATCCACAACGTGCAAGAGGGGCAGGGGCCCCAGTGGCTAAAACCCAGCCCTACCCATGATCTGCTTGAAATTTCCTCCATCCAGGCTACCCCTTTGGTTTAAGGTGCTGGTTTTCCACCTTAGCCACACATTCCAGCCACCTGGCAATGGCTAAAATACACCTTTCCCGAGGCTGCACCCCCAGAGAGTTGGATTCCATTTTTCAACAGTGGGGTCTAGACATCGGTGTTTTGCTAAAAGCTCCCCAGGGGATCCTAATGTCCAGCCGGGGTTGGGGACCAGTGGCCTAAATGACTCTATGGAAATGAAGGCGAATTACCTGCACACATAAAGCAGTCCGTCAGCACCTGCTTGCACAGGGGTGGAAAATGCAGCTGTCGCAGGGACCCAGCCGGTAACGGCAGCAGGCTGGGTGGGGACTGAGCAGCAGGCGGGCCTCTCTCTGGTCATCCAGCTGGGATGCCATGCAGGAACTCAGGCTTCGTAAGACCAGTTCCCATGTTTTGAAAGAGAAACCAGCCATGTGGATTCTTAAGGAGAATTCATCAGCAACTAATTCACTTTTTAAAAACAAAACAAGTCTGGCCTGCCCCAGGGCCCCTAGTTGGTGATCCCTACGCTGCCATGTTACAGTGTTTGGCTTTTCAGATTAGGTAGGCACCACCCAGCACCAAGCCATGAATGAAAGAAACGTCCTCATATCAGGGCCTAAGGGGAATGCTTGAAGCCAAGGCCCCCCCACCCAAGGCATGGGCAGGGTAATAGAGAGACCATCTAGCTCTCAGAATGCAAAGGCAGATGAAGTCAGCTTCACCTAAACACATTGTTGAGGCTTCGGTGGGATCCAGGACTGCTCGGGGGACCTGCAGCACCATGGCCTGCGCGTGGGTGAACATTTAGGATTCTAGACACTAGGTCTCGTTCGTTCATTCTACACTTGCACAAGGGTCCAAGAGTGAAGCCTCTGTTAGAGTTGCCAGTTAGCATCTTGCAAGGTAATCTGTGGTTACAAAATCAGCCTTGTGTTTTGGAGATGAGAAACAATTATCTTTGTGTGGCATCTACCTTCTTTGCTCTCACTCTGTAGTTTGAAGAATAAGAAGTCATGTGGGGAACTTCAGATATCTTTGTCCTCCTTTTCCCCTCTGTTTGTTCTAAATCATACACTAGTATTCAGTTCATAAACAGATGTGGTGTGTGGTGAGCTGGGATCTGAGGCAGAGACCAATCCTGCCAGTATCTGGGAAGCAGGATCTTAGCTATGATCTCCGGGTATCCTGCACAGCAGGAATAGCCTGGCGAGATGGGGTCATGACCTGGGGGGAGGTTTCCCATTTCCCTAAACCTCGACTGATCAGTCGTCCCTCCAGGAAGGTACATATCCTTAGCCTCTCGGTATGTCTGCTTGTTTAAACATGCTCTGCTTTTTAAAAGGAGTCCAACTTAAGAACTGCCAGATTAAAACGGGCTTGCTAAGAAGAGCGCATGTTGATCGGGAAATAATATCCCGCTGAAATGACAGTTTCACTTGGTTCTGCAGTATATTTAGGATGACACTTATCCGGGGAAACAAAAGACCACAAGGGAAGAGAGAGCACTTTGTGTGATCTCATGTATTATATTTATTTTTAGAAGACAGGGAATTAGTGTCCACTGAACATAATTACATGTGGTGACTCTTCTCCTTGCCATTGTTCTGATGAGAGTTTTCTTAAAACCCTGGAAACGTAAGACCTTCTTGGAGGGCCGTACCTGCTATTGTTGTTCACTCCGGCTGGGGATGTAAGGCAGTTCCTCGTTGCAGACAGCAGGGGTCGCTGTGAGCCTTCTCAGGGACTTCAAGATTGTCCAGGGAAGCCCCAGACAGGATTTCAGACAAAGCCACTGGCCGGTAAAGGTCATTAGCCAGGGGGAGGTTTCAGGGTTTCGGGGAACCAAGCTGGTCCATTTGGGCAGGCAGGTTCTATGGGTTTCTCCTACCAGGTGTAGTAAAAATCACAACTCCCTTTTATTACACGCTTGCTGTGTGCGGGGCTCTGAGCTTGAATGCCTTCCCGTGCAGAATCACCTCTTTTAAGCCGCACAGCAGCCCTGCGAGGGATGGATGCTGTCATTCCTTTTGCACCCAGACAGAAACTGGAGATGGAAACTAGGGAGATGGAGTGTCCTGCCTGGGACCATGCCGCTGAATGGGGATTTGGATCTAAGTCAGCCTAACCCAGAGCCCCGGCTTGGAGCCACTCCTCTCTGCTGCCTGTTTTCTTGGGTCTAGAAGGAACTGTCTTCCTCCAGATCATTCCAGTGGGACCAAATGACAGCGAGTGTGTCATTTATACCAGGCACTGTGCTAGGCACGAGGCATGTAGCCATTTCAGGAGAGACTCAGGTCTCTCTGTGGGGGACCAGAGAGGAAACTGACAGGGACAGCCAGTGGGACAGGTGTGCAGGTGAGAGTGCAGGGCTCCGGAGAGCATTCTCTGGGCAGGGCCTCAAGCTACCCCGCCTGCTGGAGGGGAGAGAAGGCAGCCTCCTAGCCCGAGGCAGCAGTGCCTGGGGCCCTTCCCGGAGGCCACCAGCCTTCCACTCGGGCCTCAGTGCACCACACTCCAGCCCCTTAACTAACCAGCCTTGGGTTAAACCAGACAGGCATCAGGAGGCACTGCATTTCCATGTTTCTGTGGGATCACTGTCTAGGGTGACTCAAGGATTATGCTTTTGGAAACTCAGAGAGAGGCACAGCAGTGGATTTGCAGACAGCGATTCTCGTCTTCTCTGTGGCTCTCTTTTCGGACTTCAGTTTCCCCTGGCATAAACTAGTGGTAGTAACACTAGTGATAACATACACTAATTTGTGATGATGCTGTGGTAATACGTGTGAGTGTTGATTTCTTTCTCATGTCCCCGGCCCCGTGCGCTGCAGTGCCTCATGTTTCTGGGGGCCCATTCATCACCGTGGCCCGGTAAAGTAGTTTCATGTCTCTGTTTCTCAGTGAAGAAACCAGCTCCAGAGCCCAAATTCCACCCACTGGGTCATCAGATGCCTCAGGCCACCACGCTGCTCATCGGCCTCAAGGACTATAAGGATTAAATGAGATTGTACAAATGAGGCACTTAATCCAGCCCCTGGCAGAGTAACAGGTAGTTAATAAATGTTGACTGTGGTGTTCAACAGCACCAAACCAGTGGAGCCAGGATTTGAACCCAGGGTTTGAATCTGAGTTTATAGACAGAACCCAGGTCCACAACGGCAGTGCTGAAGCCTTGAAGGTCCTGGGCAGCGTTTTCCTGGTTTTTTTGTTTGTTTGTTTTGTTTTTGTTTTTTCTTCTGTAAAGGAAGGCTGTAATCCTGTAATCCTCTATTTCTGCCCCATTCGTCTGTGTTCTGGGGTAGAGAGTCAGGAAGGACCTTGAGGGACAGGCTGAGCCAGCTCCCCTTTATCCCCCAAAAGGAAATGTGGAAGACACACAAATAGGGGTGTCCCAGACTGTGCAAGTATGCATGTACACACAAACTTCTCACCCCACCACTCAAACAAGGACGGAAATGGCCAGTGGTCAGCTCACCCGGCAGGTGCCCAGAGTCTTAGGTTAGTATGGATCTAAAAGAAGGAAGGAAGGAAGTGGAGACTGGGCTTCCCACCCCCCCCACCGCCACCCCATCTGGGTTTGCTCTGGAGTAGGTATGTTGCACATGTGTGTTTTGCCATGTTGTTTATTTTCCTCTTTCCCTGTCTCCACCAGGAAGTGCCCAGGGCAGAGAGGCAGTTCAGGGCCTGGATCGGGCCTGAGTGTATACATGCAAATGAAGCTTACACTTGGGGCTCTCCTGCTGATACACAGCAGCTGTATGCAGAGCTCAAGCGTTTGGTGGAGAGGGTCTTATTTCCACCCCCATTTCAAAAGCTGGAAGTGGTGTTAAAAACAGAGCTGGCTAATACAGGCATCGGGGAGGCATGGGACATGGGGTGAACCACGTGCCACGCAGTCTTTGTATCAGTTCGTCCACACAGCAGCCCAACATGGTAAGACTGTTGTTAAACCTGCCTTCTATATGAAGAAACTAGGGTACAGACAGTAACGGTGCTATTCCTAGATGGACCCTCGGCTTGCCCATTTCTGTCATAGTCCATGGGGCAGCCTTGTTTGAGCCACCTGGGTTCTGGCAGGCAGTACCCCCCATCTTCCAGGAAGGAGGTTCTGCAAACAGGATTGGCCTCACACTTGGTTAAATGCACTGCTGTCACCATCTTGAAATTCTTAGTAATGTGTGAACAAGGGGTCCTGGATTTTTCTTTTGCGCCAGGCCCTGCCAACTATATAGCCAGTTCTGCCTGTGAACCAGTAGAAGAATCGGGAAGTTTGGAGCCTGGGTGTAGTGGCCATTGGCCAGGCTTAGTTTGCTCGCCTGCAGGGTGGGAATGAAGAGTGTGTCTGCCTCCCCTGCCTCCCTGCCCAGGCGGTGAAAGGCTCAGGGAGAGGGTGGGTGGACAGGCTGACTAAAGGAGGGAGGTGTTTATGGGAGCATGTCTGTCACTGTCATGATCATCACTAAGGCCCTCTGTGGAAACTGCTAAGGAGCGCGTTTCAGACCTGCCTCTCTGAGGATGGCGTGGGAATGTCTAGGCAGCTCTGAAGTCCAGGCCAGGTCAAGTCATGGTGAAGAGTCAGTTCTGGTGATAAATCTGTGGATTCAATGCACTTCTCTCCCTTCCTATGCTATGTCATGTTAGCTCTCCGGGCCTCAGTTTTCCTCATCTGTAAAATGGGGATGAAAAGCCCTGCCTGACAGCTGGGTGATAAAAGATGAGTCAAGTATGTGAGACGCCTAGCGTAGTGCCGGGCTCATGAAAAGCTCCCAGCCAGCGTAGCTGTTATTACTGTGTTTCCTTCTGGTGGTCTGCCACGTCAGGAACACTGTTTGGGGTTAGGTTTAGGAAGACAGTCAAGTGGGTCTGGAGGTGAGAAGGAAGGCTTGGGTGGCTCACGCTTAGCCTGTCCATATACACAGTACTCCAGAGTCCCCCGGCTCACTTTCCACCTGTGAGCTTCCGCTGTCTTCTCTGTGGGAAGCTGACATCCACAGGTTCACAGTCAAGACCCGATTTCGCTTTCTTCCTTCACCGCTCCCTCCCTTCCTTTTTACCGACAGGTGGTTCACGTTGCCTTCCAGCCATTGGAGTCAGGTGGACATTTGTGAGAGAGTTACCTTCTTGGTTGGGGCTTTGGGCAATTAGCTTTTCCTTGAGCTTGGCCCCTGAGAGAAAATCGCCCGCATGGCCATCACCAGGGTAGCAAATGCTAAAAGTCTGTTCCCGCACTTTGGGAGGCCAAAGCAGGAGGATCCTTTGAAGCTAGGAGTTCGAGACTATGCTGGACAACATAGCAAGACCCCATCTCTACAACAAATACAAAAATTAGCTGAACTGTGTGGCACTCCTATAGTCCCAGTTACTCAGGAGGCTGAGGCAGGAAAATTGTTTGAGTCTGGGAGTCTGAGTTTGCAGTGAGCTATAATCAGGCCACTGCACCCCAGCCTGTGCAACAGAGTGAGACCTTCTCTCTAAAAAAATAGAATAAAATGAGGCCTTCAGCACACGCCAGCACACTCTTCCACTGACTAACTCCTGACCCCTGTCCAGGGTAGCTCAGCCTGTCCTGCGGTCCTGCAGTCCCGTTACCATTGCACCCCAGCTGCCTCAGCTCCCCTTGGAACTGCTCCATGTGGTTGCTTAGTGTACTGACCCCCAACCCCCGAATATAAGCTGGGACACTCTGACTGGCTCACTGTCATGTCCACAGGTGCCTGCTACATAGCTGGTGCTGTGATAATGTTTGTGGAGTGCATACCCACTATGTGAAGCCTGTCTCAATACAATCCTGGTAGAAACGCGAAGTGTAAGGCACAGAGAGGTTCAGCAGTCTGCCCCAGGTCACACAGCTCTGAGGCTGGTCACACAGACCAGCACAACCAGCTCTCCCTCCAGAGCTTCACTTATCGCCCTGGAACTCCTGCCATGGGTCAGGGATGTCTGGTGAGAGCAGGCAGCAATTGCAGGCTGGCAGATGGAGAGCTACTTTTCTCCTTTTATCTCAGCATCTTTTTTTTTTTTTTTTTTTTTTTTTTTTTTGCTATTTTCTTCCTTGAGGTGTGAACCACCTGCTAGGGTGTGAATGGGCGAGAGTTCACAACAGGTGTCTGGAGATCTTAATTACAAGGCTTGCATCTCCTGTCCACCCCACACCTGTTGTGCCTGCTTTGTGGGCAACGTCTGTCCATCCCTGGCCTCCTGGCCTTCTCATTTCCTCTTGCAGTGGCCGTGACAGTGGAAGGAGGGCCGAGGACAGCTTGCTCACTCATGCTCCCCACACACACCTCCCTTGTCTCCCCCACACAGGCATGGGGTCACTGCCCGATTGACTCCTGGTTGTCAGCAGTACTTTTCCAAAAGCTTCCAGCCCTTTGAGCCCTTTCATCTGCTAGGGCAGAGACACAGAGCAGGATGGGGGAAGACTTCCCATTCTCCAGGCTTTCCCTGAAGAAACTCTGCAAAAATCAGGCTCAGGCAGCTCCTGAGAGCCAGCCAGGCAGGATGGGTTGAGTGAGGTGTGTGGGGTGGGAGAAAACCCTTAGCCAAGTTCTCAAAGGGATGGGTGAGGAGGATGAGGCTGACCCCAGGTGTCTCTCCTCTGCACAGGTCGTCTCCTCCCAAATCCACTTCCCCAGAGAGGCCCTAGGTCAGGGGGCATCACAGCCACTGACCACTGACCAACTCCAGCTATGCTTGCTCATTATTGCCTGGTGCTTTGGGGCTTCCGCAGCAGAGTTAAGAGCTTGCAACCTCATCCATATGACCTCATCCTACCTTGATGAGGTATTTCCAAATATCGATGCTCTGGCCCTGGCTGGGAAAAGTTTGCCAACCCCTGGACTCAGTTAAACACAAGGCCTAAGTGGGGATTTGGCACGTCCTCACAGAGCACTGGGAACCTGAAGTCAGAAAACGGGGTTTGTGGCCTTCTAGTTTCAGTTACACAGATAAGGTATTTTTTTCCTCCCCTTATAAAACATACAGGGGTTACAAATAAAGCTAAGTCCTGTTGACCCCCTCGGAGGGCTGGCCGCGAGGACCGGGTCATTTCCCCACTCTGCCCTGTTTTCCTATCAGGATATTCCCACTCTTCCTACTTTGCTGTGGTTTGAAAGGACGGAATGAATGCGTGCTTTCATTCCTTCAGTGTGCATGGGGTGCCTCCTGTCTCCTCTGCACCACGGGAGATGCAGATTTATTCCCCTGGCATTCCTCTGGCGTTGATGGAGCCTCTCTCTGTACCAGGTGCATTGCTCGGCACTGGGAAGGTGGCTGTGAACAAGGCAAAGTTCCTGCCCTCGTGGCTCTTATGTTCTAATGGTGGTTGGCAGTAGGGGCAGTAAACAAATGAACAAATAAATTCCGTGACATGGTGGCATGAGCGTTCTGAAGACAGTTAAAGCAAGAGTTAGGAGGGATGAGAATAAGACCAGTACCAGTTTCTGTGGCTGCCATGACAACATGCCACAATGGGGGTCTTAAACAGCAGACATGTATTCTCACAGTTCCAGAAGCCAGAAGTCCCAGTTCAAGGTGTGGGCAGGGCCATGCTGCCTCCGAAGGCTGCAGGGGGGATCCTTCCTCGCTTCCTCCCGCTCCTGGAAGCTGCTGCCAATCCCTGCTATTGCTTGGCATGGGGCTGTGTCAGTCCCGTCTCTGCCTCTGTCGTCTCTGGCGTTCTTCCTTCTGTGCCTTCTCCCGATAAGGACACCGGGCATTGCATCGAGGACCCACACTAATCCATATGACCCCATCTGATCTTGATCACATCTGTAGAGGTCCTATTTCTAAGTAAGGTCACATTACAGGTTTCAAGTACACATCATTTGGGAGACATCCAGTACAGGGAATCTTAGACTGGGCAGTTAGGTAAGGCTCCTCCAAGCAGGGGACATTTGCGTGGAGACCTGGGTTGTGAAGGAGTGAGCACGTGCAGATCCAGAGACAGTAAATGCCGAGCCCCGACGAGGCAGGACCAGCCTTGCCCCGTGTGATTGCCAGCTAGCATGCGTGCAGAAAAGTGCACAGATCCTAAGCGGACAGTATGGCAGGTGGTCACAAATTCAGCACCACTGTGTAACCAGCACCTGGCTCAAGAGGCAGAGCATTTCCAGCTAGCCCCTGCCCAGCGCCTCCTGCCAGTCACTACCTGCCCCCCACCAAGAGCAGCCACTCTCTTAACTTCGAAAAACATATATTAGTGTTGCCTGTTTTTGTACTTTCTGTAAATGGAACTGGAACATATATTCTCATTTGTGTCTGGCTTCTTTGATCATCATTCTATTTCTGGGATCCGCACTTGCTATGTTGCAGTTGTAATCCATTCATTGTTGTGACCATCTAGAATTCCATTGTGTGAATATGTTGCAATATACTTACCCATTTTACCAATGAGCATTTGGGTAGTTGGCAGGGTTTGGGCTATTTCAAATACTGCTCCTGTGAGCATTTCTTTGGCATCCACATGCATGTGTCCCTGTAGAGTGTATGTGTAGGTATGGAATTGCAGGGCCACAGGGTATGCATATCTCAGCTTTAGTAGATATTTATTTCCAGGCAGGTTTCCAAAGTGGTTGTATCAGTTTGCGCTTCCTTCCACGGTCAGTTTATGGTGTTCTGGTGCGCCTCATCCTCGTCCACACTTGGTGTTGTCTGTCTTTTCCTTAGCCATTCTGGTAGGTGGATAATGGCTACAGTGGTATTACTGTATTATGGTTCTAATCTGTGCTTCCCTGATAGTTCAGGAAGTCAAATATTTTCTCCTATGTTTATGAGCCATTTGGATATCTATTGTCTCTTGTGGGATGTCTGTTCAAGTCTTTTGCCCACTTTTTAAAAACTGGCTTGTATGATTTTTAAATTTATTTTTCTTTTCAATTTTCTAATTACTTTTTATTTAACTTTCTGTATTCTGGACTGTGTGATTGCAGTGTCTCCCATTCTGTGGGTTGCTTTCACCTTCTTGGTGGTATCCTTTGATGAACAGAGGCTCTTCACTTAGATATTGTCACTGTCATTCTTTCTCCTTCCTGGTTATAACTTTTTGTGTCTGCTAAGAGATCCTTGCCTCCTCTGAGCTCATGAAGGTGGCCACCTATATTTTTCTCTAAAAGGAAAGGCTTCTCTTTGACCCTTCACATCAAGGTATGCAATCCATCTGGCATTGATTTTTGTATATGGCGTGAGGTGCAGACCAAGGAGCATTTTTTTTCCACTTGGATATTCAATTGGCCCAATATCATTTATTGCAAAGACCATTCTTTCCCCTCCCTCTGCAGCATTGATTTTGTCATAGATCAGGTGACTGTGTGTGAGGGTCTGCTTCTGACTCTAATCTGCTCCCCGGGTCTATTTGTCTGCCCCCATGCCAATACCAACCTGTGTTAATTACCAAGGCTTTGTAATAGACTTGATATCCAGTGGCTTTGTTCTTTCTCGTGATTGCCTGGCTGGGGTTGGCCATTAGCACTTCAGGTCTTTGGGCTTTCTTGACTTACATTTGTAAAAGATCTTGTAAGGAGAAAAGTCTCTCAGGGGGACTAGCAGGTGTGAGGAGACCCAAGAGGGGGTTTTTGCTTCACCTGGGCCATAGCTGACTGCGGCTTGGACCAGGCGTCAGCCACGGAAGTGGGATGCCAGGTCAGTTTGGGAATATGTTTGATGGTGGCTTTGGTGAGGACTATGGCAGAGAGAGGGATTGCAGATGACACCTATATTTAGGTCCTAAGCAGCTAGCTGGATGATTGGCCACATTCGGGGACGGGAAAGTCTGAGAGAGCTGCCATCTTGGTGGAATGTGCATCCCTCACAGCCCCGCTCCACACACACACATCCTCTCCTCACCTGTCATACAGCACAAATAACCACTGGCCACAGTCGTGATGCCAAGGTTGTGTGCCTCAACCCATCTGGCCGTGTGTCTATGTGTGTTTGGGGGCTTCTGTGAGCATTCCTGTTGGGATCCATGCATGTCAGCCTCAGCACCAGCATTTGAGTATTGATGGTCCTCGCTGCTGCATTCTCTGCCTATGTGAGCAAGGCACCATTAACGATACCTCCCGATGTCTGCACAGCACCTTACCCAAGGGCCTGCCGGGGCCTGAAGTGCTTTTGTGCTCAGGATTTCATTCATTCCCCCGCCAAGAAGCCTGGGGAACTGAAGCGCACAAGTCAGATGGCTTCCCAGCTATAAAACCCTGCACAAGTGGCAAAGCCGTATTTGCACTCACAGATACTCTTCCTGTGCTGTCTTTCCTATTATGAATTCAAGGGAAAGAGTTTTTTTTAACTCTTTCATGTGCCCATTCAGCAACATATCTGCTGAGCCCTTACAACATGCCTATCTTCAGCAAGCATCACCCCTGAGGTTTTACTGTCCACTGTGCTTATCAAGGGCAGTCCACAAATAACCACGTGCTTATTGGGAGCTCAGTGCTCTACCTCCTACCCTCAGAATAACCACAGTCTAAGGAAGTGATGAGCCACCTGGAAGATGAGCACAGGTACCAGGCAGTGACTACAAAATGCCAGGGAATCAGTTCCACTAAGGGAATGGCCCCAAGACAGAATGTAGGAGTCCTTGCCTCATATCTTTTTATTTCAAAAAAAAGATCTTGAGTTCTTAGTGGACTCCAGGGTTCACATTAACCAGCTGTGGGATGTAGCTCAACAGAATCCCATGGTCCGGATCCCAGAGGTCTCAACTCCTCTATGGCATGACCACATCTTAAATCTGTCTTTTAACGGGTAAAGTGAGTAAGTATGTCCTCTTATTTTAGGAGGGAGAGACAGGAACTACCCAGATTATATCAAGATAGAAGATCTGATATAGGGTTGGCCAGCCTACAAAAGGAATGCCCAAGAGGAATATTCAGGGCTCTGACTCACAGCAAATGTTACCGAAAATCAGATTTCTGCTGAGGGTACAAACAAATGAATATACATGTAACGGTCAGGATGGCTAAAATAAAAAATAGTGGTGACACAAAATGCTGACAATGATGCAGAGAAACTGGATTGTTTATGCATTGCTCATGGGAGCCAAAAATGGTACAGCTGCTCTGGGAAATTCCAAGTGTGGGCAGTTTCTTACAAAGTAAAACGTGCACTTTCTCTATGACCCAGTGATTGCACTCTTGGGCATCAACAACAGAGAAATGACAACTCACGTTCACACAAAAACAGATGTCTGTCAGCTGATGAGTGGATAAACAAAATGGGGTGTATTCATACAATGGAATGTTATTCGGCCATAAATAGGAATGGACTACTGATAACGTGGATTTGAAAACATGATGCTGAGTGAAAGAAGCCAGACACGAAAGGCCACGTATCCTATGATTCTGTATCTGTGGGTTCCACATCCACAGATTCTGCACCCACAGATTCCACCAACCACAGATCGAAAATAATGCAGAAGGGACTTGAGCATCCTTGGATTTTGGTACCCATGAGGGTCCTGGAACCCATCCCCTGTGGATACCGAGGGATGACTAGGCACATCCGTAGAGACTGAAAGTAGATTCACAGTTGCTTAGGGAAGGGGAAGGTAGGTTGGGAGTTACTGGATAGAGGGTACAGGACTTCTGTGTGAGGTAATGAAAATCTTCTAAAATTGGCTGTGGCAAGGGTTGCACAGCTCTGTAAATGTAGCAAAAACCATCAAGTTGTGCACTTTAAATGGGTGAACTATATAAGATGTGAATTATATCTCAATAAAGCTGCTAACCCCCCCATAAAAGGAATCTATAATTGAATGTTCATAATACCTTTATGCATAAATAGCCAAAACTTGGAAACAACCCAAATGTCTTTCAGTAGGAAAATAGCTACACAAACTGGTATGTTCAAGACATGGGATGCTGCTCAGCAGTAAAAAGGGACAAACTATTGATTCACAAAACAACGTGGCTAAATCTCCAGAGATTTATACTAAATAGAAAAAAATAATCCTGAAAAGATGACATACTGTGTGATTCCATTTATATAACGTTGTCTTTTTTTTTTTTTTTTTTGAGACTGGGTCTCATTCTGTTGTCCAGGCTAGAGTACAGTAGTGTAATCATTGCTCACTGAAGCCTCAAACTCCTGGGCTCAAGGGATCCTCCTTCCCCAGCCTCCTGAGTAGCTGAGATTACAGGCATGCACTTCCACGCCCAGCTAATTTTTCAGTTTTTTTGTAGAGACAGGGCTTGCTATGTTGCCCAGGCTGGTCTTGAACTGAGCCCAAGTAATCCTCCTGTGTCAGCCTCCCAAAGTGCTGGGATTACAGGTGTGAGCCACCACACACAGCTCTATAATGTTCTTGAAATGACAAAATTAGATGAGTGGGAGGCAGGAGGGAGGGAGGTGCCTGTGTCTATCAAAAGGTAGCTTAGGGGGTCCTTGTGATAAAACCATTCTGTGTTTTCATTGTGGTGGACACTCATAACTACTCATAAGATTTCATGGAACTCAATACATACATGCAAATGACCGCATATAAAACTAGTGAAATCTGAATAAGGTCAATTATTAATGTTGATTTTCTGATGATGATATTGTACTGTAGTTTTGCCAGATGTCACCATTGAGGGAAACTGGGTGAAGGGTGTATAAGATCTCTCTGATTCTTTCTTACAACTGCATATAGATCTATAATTATCTCAAAATTCAAAGGTTTTTTAAAAGTGAATATCCCAAACTATAAAGCATTAGAAAAAGGCCATTTCCTGCAGTAATGAGTTGCCTATCATCAGCGGTAAGCAAGTGATGTCAAGGTTAACTGTTTGTTAAGGATGCTTAAGAAGGAATTCCTGGGGCTGGGCATGGTGGCTCACGCCTGTAATCCCAGCACTTTGGGAAGCTGAGGCAGGTGGATCACCTGAGGTCAGGAGTTCAAGACCAGCCTAGCCAACATGGTGAAACCCCGTCTCTACCAAAAATAGAAAAAAAAAAATTAGCCAGGCGTGGTGGCAGGCGCCTGTCGTCCCAGCTACTCGGGAGGCTAAGGTGGGAGAATCACTTGAACCCAGGAGGTGGAGGTTGCAGTAAGCCAAGATTACACCACTGCACTCCAGCCTGGGTGACAGAGCAAGACTCTGTCTCGAATGAATGAATGAATGAATGAATGAATAAAAGAAGGAATTCCTGATGGAGTGAGAGGCCAGGCTTACTCTCTATGTGAAACTTCCTCCCCAAAGTATGCCAGCAGTAGCCTTTTATGGGGTCAAAGAAGGTAGAATCCTCTAGGCTTTAGGGTCACCTGCAGGTGGTGGTTCCTTGGTCAGAAGGAAACTAATATTCAGCTGCCACAGAGTCAACAGATGGGGGGATAAGTGGGGGAAGAGAAATTATCCCAACTTTTATACTCCATATAGACAATTTATACAGTTTATTACTTAAATCTAGGCTAACTGTACCTAGGGAAATCAAAAGGCTGACCTAGTAAGTACATTTTATCTAGGATCTATTTTTATTTAGTAGGTTCATACATGAACCTTGTACTATAAAGAATGTAGAAAATATTAACCTTCAGTTTGCAGTGTGAGGAAACACTGTTTGGGGATCTTTCTAGACCCTTTTCAGAAAGCAAAGAAACCAGTGCGGAACTTTCTTAGGCTTCTGTCTATCTGTGTCTCTCCAGATTCTCCATATTGCAGGATGGGCACAAAGCCATGTTTCTCAGAACATGCCCTGCCCTATTTAAGATCTCTGGGAATGCAGCCCCAAGGAGTTTGGGAGGGATGTTTACTGAGTGATACCTTCTTCACTGGAGAAGCTGGCTTTGCAGACTCTTCTCCTTTTTGATCATCCTACCAATATGTCCAGAGGATGATCAGAGGCTGTAAAAGTTACTGCTGCTCAAGCCAAGAGAAGTGCCACTTGCTCAGAGGACATACTCGGGTTAGCTGAGTTCTTGTCTTCATGCTGTCCTTCCTCCTCCTTCATCAGGAGTTGGCTGTCAGCTTGGAAAGGCGCCAGTGTGATTTTCCACGTGGAAAAAAAACACTAGCCAGGGAGTCAGGAGACCTGAATTCTGGCCTGGGCCCTGCTGCTTGACCTCCGGCGATTACATGACCTCTCGGGGCCTCATTTGTTGAATGATTCCATGAAGGGTTTGGGATAGGCCTGCCATTTCCAAGCCAACACAAACCCATTGGTCATGGCTGCCTGGAACCCTGTGCGGGAGGATTGAGACTGTTTGGGCTCCGTGGAAAATGGCACCGAAATTGATTAGTGATGTCTGCCACAGATGTGGGGCCAGCGTCTTTGATAAGTCAACAGCTGCACGTACTTGACTAAGAGTATGTCATTTATCTGCCATGAGGCTGTTTCCATCTGCCAGACTAACTGGTCGAGCAATCCCAAACCACGGCCACGTGGAAGCCTCCTTAGTTTGCCTCCTTAAAAAAATAAATAATTAACCCTGAGCACTGAGAAGGGTTTTCTTGCCGTTGTTTTCGTCCTTCCTTTGAGATTTCGCAGGCTCGGGCTTCCGCTGCAGCTGGCGTTTTCCCTCACTGCACGCCTAGACTGGTTCCAGAGTGGGCGACAAAAGCTCAGACAGTGGAACAGGGTGCCCCAGGGAGAGCGTGCCTGTACCGGGGGAAGGGTGGCATTGTGCGCCCTCATTCCTCCCCTCCTGCCCCAAGCAGCCGCGGCAGCTCACTCTAACCTTGCTTTCACACCTCCCCTGTCTGCATTCAGAGCCTTTTCAGCTGCAAGGTCTCTGTGCTTTGTCTGGGCTTGCTCGGAGGGCCGCCGTTGGCTCATTGTTGGAGCTGATAATTGCGCGCCATGTCTTCCAGCATTCTGGGTGGTGAAAGGCAGCAGGGAGCCCCAGACAGCTTGGGGGATTCCTCTTTAGGAACAGCTTCTCTCCCCTCACGCATCGCAGAGTTTTCCACGGAAAAGGGAGGTCTCAAACACTGCTTTTTAGTTAAGAAATAACTTGTCGGTTTAGCAAATATTTACTAAGCATCACTAATGAAGCAGGGACTGCGCCAGGTGCTAGGTTACAGAAACAACCATGAACTCCAGAAAGGGAAGGAACCGTTTTGGCTTAGAGGGAGGTGGATACAAGGCTTACCCCATTAAAACCCTCAGGGTAGAAGCCCGGATTGTGCATGCTGTTTTGTCTTGACTTAGTAACTTGGTCTGATGAGTTCTCTGGGACTCAGTGTCTGTCTCTGTAAAATGGCAGGATTAACAGCTGTGTCTGGTTTGCTGTAAGATACAAGGTCAGTGAGGCTGGTAAAGCACCTGGTATCACTCCTGGCTTAGGGTTGCTGTCATCTCTATTGTGGCTCCTGCCTCGGACTTCAGTAATACACTCGGGCTGCGTAAGGAGCCAGGAGACTAGGCTGTGACTCCCAGCCCTGCTGCTAACTAGCTGTGTGCTCTTAGGAAAGTCACCTAACCTTTCTGATCCTCCCTGAGGAAACTGAAGTAAGGGAATTCCCAACGACGTGATGGTCTCTGAGTTTCATTCCTAAAGTAACATTGCATGCAATCTTGGGCCATCACAGTGTTTCTCAAACTTGAGCAAGGTATAAAGAGCCCTTTTAAAGTAAAATACAATTTCACAGTCCTTTCCCATGGTGATAATGTAAATATTTTTATTATTATGTTATTTAACTATGTACAAATATAAAACTCAGAATAAACTGACAACTCATGCTTATGGTTCTTTTAGGACTATAAAACCAAAACACAATTTCACGTTAAATACAAACAAAATTTAAACTCAATAAAATTCAAATTAACAACATTATTTTAGCGTGATGGATGATGTCGTTTTGCAGAAACTAAATTCAGAATGTGGGTTTTTAATATTAGAAAGATGTAGCCTCAGGTCCAGATCTATAATCTGTTTCGGTTCTTTTACGTCAGTAATACTAATGCAGAGAATGCCTGTTTGCATAAGTAAGTGCTTGTGCAGGATGAGAATACCAAATTGAAGGCTTCATTTGCTGGTTCAGCACGATTAGACCTCTTGCTTCTCTGAGTCTTGCCGGTCATCAAACACCCGTTTTCATGCAGCGGTGCTTATTGGTTCTATCCTGATCACTTAAAAATAAAAGTTAGCATTGTAGTGTTATTGAAATTATGAATGAATGGATAACCAATTACTCTTGGAATTGGGAACAGAAAAATGTTTCATTGTTCATCCCAGTGAATTGATCTCTTGTTGCCAGTTGGTTAGGTGCAGAGACATGATCTGAACACTCTAGTGTCCAAAGGCATCATGTCTGTGTCTGTAGGATGTCACTTGCCTGTCCCTGAAGTCCAGTACAGGCACTGAAATCTCTTCACGGTTCTATCATGATACACATGTATGTACACGTATTAAAAATTAGACTGTCTAAATAAAAACAGAAAAACCTGAAATTGTCCTACAAAAAGAGCAAATCCTCTCCACCCCCACCCCACCCTCAACACACATGCACAGGTATATATGCCCAAATGTATCCGAGAGGCAGCAGACCCTAATTAGAGAAACTGTTCCATTAAATGGACTCTTACTTTAGTCCAAATTTCAGGTTCCAGGATACCTGTCAGGTTCACTTAGACCTGTAGATCTTTTTCCCAGCCAAGCCCACCTGTGGTTGAAATGCTGCTGGTTTTGATGCAATTTACCTATTGGAGTTAGTCATTTTGCTACTTGGCCACCAAGGTTAAATGAAGCTTCTGGTGCTCCTTGGCATGTCCTGTGAGTCTGTTTACCTGGGAATGGGATGTGGCCAGAGGCTCTGCTCAGGTAATCATAGAAGTCAAAGCAAGAGGTTGCTCAGTGAAGAGGGAAGGGCTACTACAGCTGGAGGCTTTGTGCACAGTCAAGCCTCAGCTGGTAGCGTAGTGATTCAGATGGTCAGTACTGTAATCTGCAGGAGTGGTGGCCTCTAGGATTGTGCAGTATTCAACCTGCACGACCAAACATGGCCGCCCTGAGAGTCTATCAGATTGGTGTTTCTGTTTGCTTTTAAGAGACAGAGTGTTGCTATATTGCCCAGGCCAGTCTTGAACTCCTGGCCTCAAGTGATCCTCCCACCTCAGCCTCCCGAGTAGCCGGGATTGTAGGTGCGAGCCACCACACCTGGCTAGATTGGTGTTTGAATCTTACCTCCTTCAGCTGTCACACTTGGACAAGTCATTTAAACACTCTGGGCCGGGTGCCATGACTCACACCTGTAATCCCAGTGCTTTGGGAGGCCAAAGTAGATGGATTACTTGAGGTTAGGAGCTTGAGACCAGCCTGGCCAACGGGGTAAAACCCCATCTCTACTAAAAATACAAAACTTAGCTGGGTATGGTGGTGGGCGCCTGTAATCCCAGCTTGGGAGGCTGAGGCAGGAGAATCGCTTGAACCCAGGAAGCAAAGGTTGCAGTGAGCTGAGATCACACCAGTGCACTCCAGCCTGGGCGACAGAGCGAGACTCTATCTCAAAAAATAAAAAAATAAACACTGACTGTCAGTATCTGCATCTATAAAATGGAGATCATAATAAATACTTGCCGGGTCTATTGGGAGGGCTCAGTAAAGTAACAAGTAAAGCCATTGGCCCAAAGCCATGGTTCCCAAACTGTGTACCAAGGCACCTCAGGGTGCCACAGTGAACTGACACCTTTCCTGTGGGCTATTTCAGATTTCTGAGGAAAAACAGCCACATCTGTCAGAGATGGTGTAAACTGCTACTGTCAAGTTGTTTAGCCCTAACTACTTAATAAACAAACTGTTAGGTATTTCTTTCGGCCTAGGAGTGCCATGAAAAGATCCTGCAGCCTAGTGTTTGGTGCAAAATCAGCACTCAATAAATAGGAGAGGTTCTTTTGTTGTAATAGAGCCAGAAAGGCTGTGCTGGCCTCAAGATTCCATTTTGTTTCGACTCTTCGTACATTTCACCATCGTCTTGGAGGCGCTGGGATTGGTATCCAGGGTTATTCACCATTCCTCCCGCCTTCCCTCTCCTCACCTCTGTTCTCTTGTAAAATGCATTTCAGAACATGGATTTCTCAGCCCAGATTTCGGGAAAAAACCCAGCCTGCCTGCAGCCATCTCAATGGGGTGTCACAAGAGCATCCAAAACATAAAAGTCTCAGAAGAAAATTAATTTTCTTCACTGTAATGTCTGTGCCTCCCAGTGTTCCTGGCAAGAGCTGGTCCTCCAGGTTGGAGCCAGGGTGTGGCTCCCCTCCCATGGGGGGCGGAGCCTGTGGGGACAGCCTGGGCCTGAACCTTTAAGGCGGACATGCCCCCGAGCCCAGAAATTCCCTGGAGCTCTAAGCACCTCACGTGATGGGGCCGCTGCATTCCGGAGAATTTGCCTGGTTTTCCCTGCTCTGGGGCAAGCGAACAAAGCACATTACAGGGAAGATAGGTGGACCCAGGGCCCAGGATGTTTCTCTTTGGTTTGCTTTGTTTTGTTTTCACTTCCATCCTCATTCTAGCTACCTCCAGCGACCTCATGGATTGGGGTGCCCTTTAGCTGACAGTTGACAGGTTAAATTACAGAAAAATGCTAATATGTGGTCATCTTTGACATTCAAAAACAGCCTAATTATAATCGTTCATCCTTTATTGTACCCCTACCATGCACCCAGCACACATGAGCTCTCTCTCCCTTTCTCCTCTCTACATATATATCTATAGATATGTGTATAGAGAGATACATAGATATGTACATGTATATTTGAGAGAGAACGAAATGTATATATTGGATTTTTATATATACACATATATAAAATATATCCTATATGTAATCCTATATATAGCTATAGTATATATTCTATATATAATCCAATAGATATATAGTATATATCCTATATATAAGATTTTTTCTTTTTTAAAAAATGTAGTTGCACAATTAAAACATGAATATGTTTTCCTTGCTGAAAGTAAAATTTAAGGCCAAGATATCCTTTCATCCACTGCCACCCAAGTCTTGTGCCACCCTCCTCCCTGGAGAAATTCATGCCACTCATTTGCGAATCTCCTTCTAGATCTTTGTCTTTGCATTTTGTACATATGTGAACCTGTAGGCGACGGATGTGATAGTGTTGTGTCCATTTAGAGAAAATGATGTCGTGTTTTCTGTATTGTTAGGCGTCTTCCCCTCTCTGACATGTGTCTGGCAATCTTGCCTATTTCACCCATGTAACTCTCCTCATCTTTCATAATGCCGTACGTATCCTTCACTCTCAGGAGGCCAGGCAGCCCATTTCACAGATAAGGAAAGTGGGTTTGGAGCCGGGCATGTTGTATGGTTGAGAGGTGGTCCTGACTGTTTCCCTCCCAGCAGCTCACCTTCCCTGCCCCATCATCCCTCGTGGACTGACACACACTCTCTCCCGCCCAACCAAGATGAGGCATTGGTCTTCCTGGCAGGCCACCTTGCAGGTTAATGGAGAGTTACCATCAATACCATAGATGGCCACTTTCCAGGGAATTCAAATATAATAAAATATACTTAACATGGGAACTCGATGGAGTGTAATTGAAATCTTTGATGATCCAGAAGGTGATTCAGGACCTGCTGGGCCCTGTTTCATCCTTGCAAATATCAACTATCACTGTGCATGCTGCACAGAAGCCTTGATGAGTGAAGTTCCCTGGCTGCTGGCCTAAGTGGTTCTCATTGTGTGCCACGTCCCCTGCGATGGGCCTTGTCCTCTGGCCAGAAGAGCAGGCTTGGGGAAGTGCTTTGCTCAGGTGAAGGACAGCCCCTGTCCAATATCAAAATGGTCAGGCATGTGGCTGTCCCAGTCGTGGCCTTAGTGTCGTCGCACAAGGGTGTGTCCCACTTGACTGTCTGCAAAGCACTTCAGCCAGTGCTTGGACTCTGCTCTCAGATAGCACAGGCTTTGAGTCCTAGCCCAGACCTTCATTTGGAGAAGTAGATTTGTAGCTTATTATTCCCTTTTCAGGAAAATGCAGCTCTGTAAGCAGGTAGATTCCTCATCTACTTCCAGAATAATTAAGACCTTAATTCATCCCTGCAGAATTTGAGAAAAATGTCAGTTGAAAGAAAATTACATTGCAACCCCCAGTCTGAGGAGTATGTTTATAAAGGGGCACAAAACTTCAATCAGAGCTCCCTAGCAACCAAAGCAAGAAAGGGGAGAGGCACTGTGCCTGCTAACTCTTACTCTGCCACCCAGCCCTCTAAAGAGATGCCCCTCCCTCAGAGGGTGCCAGGGGTTCTGACAGCCTAGATTAAGCCTGTTATTTCTCAGGCTGGAGAGGGCATGTTCTGTTTGTATTTTGGTACCTAAAACTTCAAGATTAACAAGGCTTAGCCTCTTGCAGCATCAGTTTTACTCAGTAATATAGCACAAACTTATTTTTTGAATGTTACTGCACACATACTGCCCTGTTGTGGAACAGGATGCAAAGTTGGCATGCAGGGTTAAAATAAGCACAAGATGACTTTGACTCACACCCCCTGAGCCTCTGAAGTGTGTGCTCCTCTCACCTACCATTCAGGGGAAGGGGAAAGATGTGTTGCCGGAAAGTCTTGAGACATCTTGGCCTAACTCATAAGTGGAGAGAAAGAGGTAGAAAAGGGAGCTATGAAAGAGAGAAGGTGGTGCAGACCAGGAAAAGGTGGAGTGCTCAGTGCTGATCTTCAGTGCCAAGCTTGTCCCACCTTGCTCGCCTGCGCTCTGACTGTTGTGTGTGCCGAGACAACACCATCCATTAGAACTTTCTGCCGCAATAAAGATACTCTCCATCTACGCTGTCCAGTACAGTAGCTGCTGGCCCTGTGTCGCTCCTGAGCACTTGAAATCTGGCAAGTGTGACTGAGGAATTGAATTTTCACTTTACTCAATGTCAATTGAAAGAGCCAAAAACCTGTATTTTTCTCATTTTAGTCACATATGGCAGAGGCTGCCATATTGGGCAGCACGGATCTAGATTCTTTAAAACGCTGATACCTTTTGATCTAATGATTCTTCTCCTAGAGCTCTATTCTAAAGAAATAATTGGAAATGTGGACAAAGTTTTTAAATGGGAGGATCTTCAATGGTGGGTTGCTTATGATAGCAAAAAATTAGAAACACTACCAGTGTTCAGCAGTGAGACAGGGCGGGCTAAATGATGGAAGGAAAAGACATCCGCAGTGTTTATCAAGAATGTTACTGCGAGGAGAAATGCTTTTCCATCCAGCAATCAAGGGAAGAAAGCAAGAATCAAAACAGTAGGCCAGCCGCGGTGGCTCACACCTGTAATCCCAGCACTTTTGGGAGGGCAAGGCGGGCGGATTGCTTGAGCCCAGAAGTTCAAGAACAGCATGTCACTACAAAAAAGTTAAAAATTAGGTGGCCAGGTGTGGTGGCTCACACCTGTAATCCCAGAACTTTGGGAGGCTGAGGCAGGCGGATTGCTTGAACCCAGAAATTCAAGACCAGTGTGTCTCTACAAAAAATTAAAAATTAGACAGGTATGGTGGCATGTGTCTGTAGTGCCAGTTACTCAGGAGACTGAGGTGGGAGGATGGCTTGAGCCCAGGAGTTGGAGGCTGCTGTGAGCCATGATTGCACCACTGCACTCCAGCCTGTGTGACAGAGCAAGACCCCATCTCTCTTATTAAAAAAAAAAAAAAAATCAATAGTTACAGTGTGGTCATTGAGTAGACCCGCATAGACATATATGCATAGAAAAAAAGACTGGAAGGAAATGCACCCAAAATAAAGATCATTATTGGTGAGTTTTTAGGCACTTTTTATTTCCTCCCCCATATTACTGTGCATTTGGCAAATTACCTGCACCGAACACGGATACCACTTTAGAATCAGAAGAAAAAATATTTCTTCAAAATAAGACAGCTGTTCATTGCTCTATCACAGTTGTCAGGGGAGGGCGAGGAGGGTGTTTCATGAGATACTCAGGTTCAAACTCAAGACCCATTTCACTTTTAATAAACCTTTTGAGTGGCTGTCTGCATTCTCTCTTCCCCGTCTCTGTTCAGCATTCCTCTTTAACTCCAAAGCTGACCCTTTTAAAAACCTAATCGCATTAAACGAAGCCAGGACAATACTGCTCTGCTGTCTTTTTGCCCAGCACTTTATATCATTTCAAAACTCTTTCATACACAAAACTCTTTTGAATCTTACCCTATTAGCAAGTCAAAGTTTTACTCTTTCAAAATTCTTTCTCCTGATTATAAAACGAATCTCATTCCTGAGAGTTTGGGAAATTGAGCAAATGCCAAAGAAAACCACCCCAGTCCCCACTGGGCAACAATAGCAATCCTGTTTCTGTCTGCCTTGCCCCATCATTTTTTCCTATGCCTCTGGAGGCAGGGCTGGTATTAATATCACCACCGCACAGATGAGGAGATAGCAGGTCAGAGAGGTTAAGTGACTCACCTGAGGTCTCGTGGCTGGTTAAGTGGCAGAACCGAGGCCCGAGCCTGAGTTCTAGTCTGTGTTCTTTGCCTGGCTTTGTAGGTGAGGCTTGATGTAACCCCCAAATAGGCATCTCACCTATTCATAGGATGCTGAGAGCCTCTTATCCTTCCAAGTGCAGTGCTTAAAAGCCTTCTATAATGGCTCAGCTCACAGAGTAAGTTACACCGGGCTGATCCTTTCTTTACAGGAGTTTACTATTTAAAGTAGACACGGGTGACACAGACAGGGTTATTCAGGATGTGCGTTGTCACATACAAGCAGAATGATCTCAGTGTTTACCCGACACACGACGGAGGAACAAAGGCTTTCTACAGGGAAATGAGCGGGAAGACAGAGGGAATCACATTGGAGAGGTTTGAATCCAGGCAGTGTGATTACACTTCGTGGGGCAATTATACTCTGCCTACCTGAAATTTAAATCAAGTCCCTTTAACAGAGGCGTGTTCGCAAAAGTTTTATCTTTTTTCATCCCAGCCTGAACCATCACCTTGGCTTCTGTTAATATAGCAGAGCAGTAGCTGCAACCCAAAATGGTCTATTATTAAAAAGAAAAAGTCAGTGAATTTTTTTTAAGGGCCTCTAAGCCTCCTGGATGGATGTGGTGTGCGCTCTGCAATTTTCAGAGACTTACTATATCCTCAAGTAAGTGAACATGACAGCCCCTTCCTCCCTGTCCACCTGGACGATTCCAGCTCTGCCTTGAGAAGCAGAGAGTGATGCCAGGTCCAAACCAACCCTGGCAAATGGGAAAGAAGTTTAAGATCTGCCTGAGTCTCTGCCCTCTCCTGCTGTCAGCCCCCTCCCTGCTGGAGAAATGTGGAAAAGTGCTGACCACACTCTTTGTACTCCCTGGGGCTTATTGGTGCTTTTCTAAACAAGTTGTGCTAATGTTGACTTCCCCATGGGAGGAACAGCCCAAGTTTGAGCAAGAGAGAGTTGGCTGGATGAATAAAAGCAACCAGCGTCCCACCTGTGGACAACAGGACAGGGCAGGAGATGGCGGGATGTTTCCTGGGAAGAAGGTTCTTTTCTCTTGCTGGGGATCCTGATGCAGCCCTTCCTAAATTGGTGGCTAGGAAATAGCCCCATGGGTTGTTTCCACCTAAATATTCCATCAAGGCCAGGCCTGGTGGCTCATGCCTGTAATCCCAACACCTTGGTAGGCTGAGGCAGGAGGATCCCTTAAGGCCAGGAGTTTGAGACCAGCCTGGCCAACATAGCAAGACCCTGTCTCTACAAAAAAAAAAAAAATTGAAATATTAGCCAGGCATAGTGGTATGCACCTGTAGTCTATAGTCCCAGCTACTCGGAAGGCTGAGGTGGGAGCATGGCTTGAGCCTGAGAGTTTGAGGCTACAGTGAGCTGTGATCGCGCCACTGCTCTCCAGCCAGGCAACACTGCAACACCCTGTCTCAAAAATTATATATATTCCACAGGCACATCCATTTGCATTGGGGAGCACACAGCATCCCTTGGGAGAAGGATCTCGGAACTGTTCTGAAGTTCTGTGGGACACCCCTGCCTTGCCCTAGGGACATGGAATGGGGAGAAGCCAGCACTTCTAGCTGGTTGGTTTTTGTTTTTCAACCAGTCTCTCCACCGTGGCCAGAGCTTCTCTCTGCCATCCCTGAACATTCCCCGATACACTCGGAAGCCAGTGGGGTGGGGGTGATCGGCAGCGTGTTCCACTCATGAAGAGTCACTCATTTGTATCTCATTTTCGAGTTATTATCGAGCTGCCGGTTGTGAGAGTATTTTGACAGCAACTGTCAGCAAGGTGCAAGCGGCTGCCATCGCCTCCGATTGGCTGCAGACACCTATGGCAGGATGCTGAATAATATTCCAGCCCACCCCTGCCCCCACCAGAGAGCAAGGCAGGGAGGAAAGGGGGTGCCAGGGGAGGAAAAGAAAACAGCAGAGCAGAGGAAGGGAAAACACCCCGGCCACTCACGGCCCAGAGCCAGCCTGGCTCAGCTCCGGCAGCCCCAGAATCATTAGCATTTTTCTGACTCCCACTAGAGAAGGCGGCCGTAAAAGACTCAGATTGTGTCTAGTGTTTTATTTAATTTATTTTATTTGAGGTTTTGGGCAGCGAGGGAGGGGGGAATGAGAGAGGATCCATCCAAACAACCATTTAGGCTTGTCAGAGTTCATTTATTGAATTAGCGAGGTTACCACTCCCAGGCTCCCAGCTGCCTGGGCTCCAGCCCGGAAAGCCGGAGGTAGCTGCAGCCTTGGAGCAGGGAGCTGGGGAGCTGGAGAAGGAGGGTGCGGATCTGAGCGCTGAGGCTCTCTGATCGATTACGCCTTTTCTTTGTTTTTTTTTTTCCCCCTCAGCTTGATTGAAATGCAATGGAATGCATGTATTTTCCCTTCTTCCTCGAAGACTCCTCTAGCCATAAAATAAATCGTTCCACATGTGTTTCTTTCCAAGAGCCGTGCATCCAGGCAAAGGAATAAATAATGCTTTATATTCTCTTCCTTTCACCTAAGCAGTTTAAAATTCGTTGTTTGTTTGGGTTTTGGGGTCTTTTTGTTTTTTTTTTTGTTGTTTGTTTGTTTTTGTTTTTTTAGTATGAAAAACAAATGTCAGCGACACTAGAAAGCAGATGTGTGGTGATCAGGAAGCAGGCACACTTTTGCTTTCAACTGAGGACCCGTGGGGCTGGTCTTAAAGGCAGAGTGACTGCAGGAGAATGCCATCTTTGTGTTCCAGATGAGGGAGACCATGTGTCATTTTTGTTTGCTACCCCCAAAATTTCCCCAGATTGACTCAGGCTTCAGCTGCTTTGCCCAGGTTTGGGGCTGAGCTGAGTTGGGTTTTACAGAGTGCAGCTCCCACATTCCTGTGGGTTCTCCTTGCCTGTGGGTTCCTGAGAGCTGAAGGGAACTGCAGCTCGGGATGTGCCTTTCCCCATAGCAGTGCTGATCCACCAGGGCACTTTGCCTGCCAGGGGACATTTGGAAATGTCTAGAGTCACTTTTGGTTGTTGCAACCTGAAGGGTGCTGCTGGCATCTAGTGGATGGAAGCCAGGGGTGCTTCTCAACACCCTACAGTGCACAGGACAGATGGGGCCGAGAGACTGTGGCCTGTAGGGAAAGGACCAGAGGGAAATGTGTGGAGGAAACAGCAGAGGAGCCGGGAGCATCCCAGTGTTTCTGTTGGCATGCGGGGAGAGGGCTGTCCTCTGCCTGTGGGCATTTCACATGCATGGCCACCACCCACTAAATACCAGCCATGATCACAGTCATTGCGACGTCCAGAAGAGCCCCCCAAAGGCTTTCAGGGGGGCAGTACCACCCGTTAAGAACCACTGCCTTTATTTCTATCTATATTTTATTTTTCTAGTGCTGACCACATGCCAAACGCCAAGCTAAGTTCTCTAATATCCCTTTGGTCCTCACAATAGTCCCATGAGGTTGAAGTTTTTACCTCCATTTGAGAGATGAAGACGGGAATTACAGCTTACAGAGGCAGTGTCCCTGCCTACAGCTAAAATGCAGGGAAGACAGGTTGAAAGTCCAGCCCTGGCAGAGGCCAGTCTCTGCTTGTAACTGCTCTGCTGAGCACTGCTCTTCTGGGAACCTCAGTTTCCTCATCTGTTGAATGGGGGAACTGATGCCTGTCCTCTCACATGTTTCTCTTAAGAATCTTAAGAGAATGTACATAAAGGGGCTTTGAAAAAAATCATATACAATATACGGAAATTGTCATACTGTTCCTGGGAAGAACCTAAAATCATGTGGACAGTGAAGAGTGTTCTTTATGGGCCCCACATTGACAGATGAGACAGTGGCCACTGGAATGTGGACTTAGAAGGTCAAGGTTTAAAGCCAGTCGAGATTTGGGCTGAAATCTACAAAGTGGTTGCAAAGCAGAACCAAATAGTCTTTGACGGATGTGATGTCAGCTTCCACGGGATTCTGTTATTTGTTATGTCATTAAACAGATTGGTTATATAATGTCATTTCAAAGGGAATGTTTGTAAAGCATTGAGTTTTTTTTCACTAAAAGCAGTGCACATGCTGGCAGAGGCCCCTGACTCAGATTCTTAATAGAGCAGCATTCTGTTCTCTCGCTGTCTTTCTCCAGCTTTCTGATGGTTGGCCAGGGAGTGGGAGGAGCAAGTCCAGGGAGCTAACCACAGGTCTGGCTATGCATCCAGGTGGCCTCAGGGACTTGTAAAAAGTTGGGATGAGCCAGGCACAGTGGCTCACACCTGTAATCTCAACACTTTGGGAGCCCAAGCCAGGAGGATCAGTTGAGCCCACGAGTTCAACAACAGCCTGGGCAATGTAGTGAGACCTCACCTCTACAGAAAATTTTAAAAACTAGCTGAGCATGTTGGTGCACTCTTGTAGTCCCAGGTACTCAGGGGGCTGAGGTAAGAGGATCACCCGAACCCAGGAGGTAGAGGTTGCAGTGAGCTGAGATCGCACCATTTGCACTCCAGCCTGGGTGACAGAGCAAGACCCTGTCACACACAAAAAGGTTGGGTGCCTGAGGCCCACCCAAGATCAGTGAAATCAGATCTACTAGATGTTGGCTTTTTCTTTTTTCTTTTTTCTTTTTTTTTTTTTTTTTGAGATGGAGTCTTGCTCTGTTGCTCAGGCTGGAGTGCAGTGGTGCGATCTCGGCTCACTGCAACCTCACTCCCGGGTTTAAGCGATTCTCCTGCCTCAGCCTCCCGAGTAGCTGCGACCACAAGTGCATGCCACCACGCCTGGCTAATTTTTTGTATTTTTAGCAGAGACGGGGTTTCACTGTGTTAGCCAGGATGGTCTCGATCTCCTGACCTCGTGATGTGCCCACCTCGGCCTCCCAAAGTGCTGGGATTTACAGGCATGAGCCACTGCGCCCAGCCAGTGTTGGCATTTTTTAAAACACTCCCTGTCAGGTGATTCAGATAGGCAGCCATGGGTGAGAAAGGCTCCTCTAGATCAGAGATTGTCAAATTTATCCATAAAGGGCCAGACAGTGAAGAGTTTTAGCTTTGTGGGCCCCCAGCTCTCCATCAGGATTACCCAACTCTGCCTACAGCTCAAAAAGCAAAGACAAGAAGTCAACAAGTAGGTGTGGCTCTTCCAGTAAATCTGTATCATAGACGATGAAATTGGAATTTCATATGATTTTCTTGTGTCACAAAATGTTATTCTTGTGATTTTTTTCCCCCAAAATATTTTAAAAATGTAAAAACCACCCTTGCTTCGATGGCTGTACAAAACAGGCGGTACAGTTTGCCAAACCCTGGTGTAGATGAACACGGAATTCCCTCTCAGCGCAGGCTTTCTGCATTCCTCTGAGAAACAGGTGTTCATCTCTAAAGTCCTCTGCGCTTGCACACCCAGACCCGTCTGTCCTTGGGCTGCGTGGCCTGTGTGATGTTTACTGTTTGAGAAACTCGTGTTAAAGTTGGAACTAATGGATTCTCTTGGAGGTGGACCCATAGGATCTCCATCCAAAGAAAATGAGTGTTTTTTCCTCATGCAAGACAAGAGCAAATCTTTGGGTTAAAACAAAAACAAAAACAAAAACAAAAGCAAAAACAAAACAAAACCGCATTGTGAAAAGTGCCTGTTAGGTCCAAACTACTGAGAAAGGCCACACCACAGTTGCAAGGTCCATGGTGGACTATGCAGAGCTGAGCCTTTATCTAGCACAGGAGTAAGACTCCATTGCAGCTGTTCATGCATTACTTTATGTGATTACTTATTCAAAAAAGCTTTAGAGGAGTCTGCATCTATCTTAACGGGCCTGGGTCTGTCACTGGTTAAAATGGCAAAGCTGGCCAGTCGCGGTGGCTTACACCTCTAATCTCAGCACTTCGGGAGGCAGAGGCGGGTGCATCACTTGAGCCCAAGAGTTTGAGACTAGCATGGACAACATAGTGAAACTCCATCTCTATAAAAAATTTAAAAATTAGCCGGGCATGGTGGTGCATGCCTGTAGTCCCAACTACTCTGGAGGCTGAGGTGGGAGAATCACTTGAGCCTATGAGGCAGAGGTTGCAGTGAGCTGTGGTTACGCCACTGCATTCTAGCCTGGGCAACAGAATGGCGGTGGCTCACGCCTGTAATCCCAGCACTTTGGGAGGCTGAGGCAGGCGGACCACAAGGTCAAGAGATAGAGACCATCCTGGCTAACATGGTGAAACCCTGTCTCTATTAAAAATACAAAAAAAATTAGCTGGGCATGGTGGCGGGGAGCCTGTAGTCCCAGCTACTTGGGAGGCTGAGGCAGGAGAATTGCATGAACCCGGGAGGCAGAGCTTGCAGTGAGCCAAGATTGCACCACTGCACTCCAGCCTGGGCGACAGAGAGAGACCCCATCTCAAAAAAAAAAAAAAAAAAAGGCAAAGCTGAGAGGAGCAATATAAAAGCATATGATGTTAAACTTATTTTAACTTAAAAAAAATTCAAACATATAGAAAAGTTGCAAGAATATTATAAAGAGTTCCAGATACCCTTCACTCATATTCCCCAAAGTTAATGTTTATCATTCTCTCTATATTCCCATACTGGTTTTTCTGAACCATTTGAAAGTAAGTTTCATAGATGACCCTACTTCACCAGTAAATATCTAAAAGTATATTGTTTAAAAAAAACAAGATCCTTTTTATACGTTATAGTACAGTTATCAAAACCAGGAAATTAACCTAGAGACAATGTTATCTTATCTATAGATCTTATTCCAAATGCTACCACTTATTCTAATAATGTCCTCCATAGAACCGGAAACAACTGATTCAGAACCCCATCCAGAACCACACGTTACATTCCATTTTCATGTCTCTTTAGTTTTCTTTAATTTTGGAAATGTTACCCTGTATTGCTTTCTTTTTCACGACCCTGACAGTTTTGAAAAGTACAAGCCAGTTGCCTTGTAGAAGTTCCCCGATTGGGTTTGTGGGATGATTCGTCCTGATTGGATTGGTTAGGATTCTCACATAGAAATACCGAAGATTTGTCCCATTGCTGGTGATGTTATCTTTGATCATTTGGTTAAAGTAGTTTCAGCCAGGTTTTCTCCACTAACTTACTATTTGTCCCTTTGTAATTAAGAAATATGTTGGAAGATAGTTCAGGACCCTGAAAATATCCTGTGTGTGGACTCACTTTACTAGTTTTAGCTTCCACTGAAGATCCTTACCTGAATTATGCATCACTGTGCTGGTGGCCAACTGATGATTGTGTAATTCCATCATTCCTCCCACATGACATTTATTAGTGGGTATTCTCCCCCGGGAAGGGCTTTTCTCCACATTCCGTTTCCTCATAGTTATTTATTTTCTTATTTTTTTATCAGTGTGGGGTCAGTGGTTATTTTATTTAATGAGTTACAAACCATTATTATCATTATTTATTTTGTTTTGCAAATTGTCCCCAATTTGACCAGTGGGAACCCCTTCAAGGTAGATTGTGTCCTTTCAATGTGTCCCCATCTTTTTTTTTCGACCCTTAAGTTATTCTTTCTTAAGTGTTTTCTATGGAGATATTTCAGATTCATCTTGTACTTTCTCAGTGCCAACCTGGAATCAGCCATTTCTCCAGGGAGCCCTAGTTCTCTGCAGTGGGTGATGGTACTTAGAAGCCAAGATCTGGGTGCCAGGTGTGCTCATGGCTACAGGGTCTCCTTGCCTCCAGTACGGAGTTTCCCAACCTTGGCACATCTTGGGCTGAATAATTATTTGTGGTGGGAGGCCGTTCTGTGCATTATGGGATGGTCAGCAGCATCCCTGGCCTCTACCCACTAGAGAGGCCAGTAGCACCCAAAAAATGACAACTAAAAATGCCTCCAGACATTGCCAGATGTCCTGCAGGAATAGAGGTGGGGACAGGGGCAAAATTGCCTGATTGAGAACCAACCTGTCTTAGCAAAAAGTACGTGTGTGTGTGTGTGTGTGTGTGTGTGTGTGTGTGTATACTTTTTTTTTTTTGAGATATTGTCTTGGTCTGTCACCTAGGCTGGAGTGCAGTGGTGCTATAATGGACTACTGCAGCTACAAACTCCTAGCTCAAGCGATCCTCCCACCTCAGCCTCCTGAGTAGCTGGGTCCACAATCTTGCATCACCATGCCTGGCGAGTTTTTTGTTTTTTTTTTTTTTTGGTAGAGATGGAGTATCCCTATGTTGCCTGGGCTGGTCTTGAACTCCTGGGTTCAAGCTGTCCTCTCACTTCAGCCTCCCAAAGTGCTGAGATTACAGGCGTAAGCCACTGTGCCCAACATGTATATATTTTTAAATACACACACAGATGCATATGCTTCTATCTCTATTTCTATTTCTGTATCTGTATTAAAATCATGAGTTCACACTGATACCTCCAGTTCCTATCCAGGGTTATATTACAGGGTTCATTCTCTACTTCCCCCTATTCATGTTTATAGCTGTCTTCTCAGGCAGTGAGAAACCTCCTCCTGTTATCCAGGGCTGGTGGACAGGCAATTGAGTTCCCACAGTGGCCCCATCTACAGCAGGATGGCATCATGGGAAAGAGCAGAGACTCAGAAACCAGACAGACCTGGGTCCAAATCCCAGCTCAACGCTGATCAGTCTCATGGCCTTGGCCAGGTTACCTAACCTGCCTGATTTCCTCATCTGTAAAATGGGAAAAATATCTGTAGGCACTATTGTGGAATCACTGGTTATAGAAGATAATAGCTGTCTTTGTGATTGAGAATTTGGAGTCAGTCAGTCTGCCCTATTAGTGTGCAGTGTTCTGCTACTACCTTCCAGAAGAAAAGAGAAGATGGACTACAAGAGGGTCTTTCTCAGTATTTGATAAGCCCCTTCTTTTCCCTCTTCCTTGACTGATAGCTCAGCCAGTTAATTCCAGCAGACACCCTGACCCACATGTGGCATCAAAGAGGGTTCTGTCTGCACTAGACAGCAGCCTCTCTTGCTTTCTTGCTTTCTTGCCAGAACTGGCCACCCCCAGCCCAGGCTGCGTTGTCCAGAACACCACCTGCAATCAGTCTGTTCACCATTTCCTACTGTCACTGTCACTCTGGTAGCCACAGGTGACTTCTTGAAATTTCTGGGCAGGAGTTTTCTTTAGAGGCGATGACCTGCCTTTTGCATGTCCTGTTCCTCAAAGTTATCTCTCTGTTTTTTCTCCCTCGTTCCCTACAACCTCTCTCTGTCTGTCTCTCTCTCCTTCCCTCTCTCTCTCTCTCTGTCTCTCTTTCTCTCCTTTTGCCTTTTCCCAAAAATGTTTAGGCTTGGCAATTTTTTCAAGGCATCCCAAGGGCTTCATGTTGCCAGCAACTGCCTCTCCTGGGAAAAAGAGGGCTGCTTTATTATTGACAACGTGACCACACAGGGCTTGCAGACTCAGCATAAAAGCTGGGGCTTGAACTCTTGTATCTCTGGACTCTTAGTGGCTCCAGAATTTCTCCAATGCTGTGGGTCATCTGAGGGTACCTGCCAGGGAGCTCCATTTGCCCAGTAAGCACATGCTTTTATGTAGATTTTGGGTGGCTGGGGAGGGGCTAATGGGAGTCCAGAGGGTTAAGATACCCCAAGCCGCTCCTTGGAGCCACCCCTGGGCTCGGCATGGGCCCCGCTTCCCATAATTCTCAGTCTTCTCCCTCCCCCCGTGCCTCCAGCTCTCATTTAGAATCCACTCAGCTCCAGGGCCTTCTCTGGCTCTTTTCAGTACTGAGCAGGCTGTGCCAGTCGTTCATCTTGAGATTCCTTTTACTATGAGCCTAGAGCTCCTTTCAAATAAAATATGCTGATTCTTTACCTTGGAGGAGGAAGAGTTTTCTAGAACACAGAATTCTGGTGATTTAGGATCATGCTTTAAGGTTTACAGAGCCTTGAACTCCCATGGAGGTGGCTAGGCCATTCCTCCACTTCACACAGGGTGTGAGTGATTTGCTCAAGGTCACTGAGCCCCACAGGCCAGGTTTGGGACAACTCTCAATGGCCAGTTGAGACAGAGAGAACCATGTCCTCCTTAAGACACCTGGTGCCTGTCCTATGCAAGAGGAATGGGGTTCTCTTTCTTTTCACCCCAAGCCATGAGGTCCCAGCACCTATCTCTCCTACACACCTGCCCTTCACTGTGTCCTCAGCCCAGCTGCCAGAGCCCTTCTCCCCTTAGAGGGGAGAGCACATGAGCTGACAGAACTCCCAGAGAACAGGGGCCACCAGGACTCTGTGACTTGCCCATGGGGGCCTGGAGGATTTGAGGACAGAAGCTCCGTTATAAGAGGACCCAGCTGTACCGAGTGGCCAGCAGCACAATTAGTGACGGTCAGGGTGCGTGTGCACCCCCATGGGTGGAGGGCATGTGGGTCGTCTCTGCAGGAAGGCTTTGCTTCTACCCCACAGAATAACTGGGCCTCCGGAAGAGACACTACCAGGCCTCAGTTCTTTCCAAGAGTTGGTGTTGCAAGGAAGCAACATGTGGTTTTCACAAGGAAGGATTTTGTCCAGCCTGTGAAAGAGACCTCCTCTTAAGTCAGGGAGCCAGGACAGTTGTTCACACCCATCCTCCAAAGTGTTTGTTAGCAGAGATGGCAGCGTTTTGCCTTCCTGTCTGGCCGTAGTTTCGTCTTCCATGAAATGGGCCCTTGAGGGAAAGAGAGAGGCTGCCACGTCAGGGTTTTTATTAATATAAGCTGTCACTTTAAAGAAAGACACTCCAGGCTCTGGATGCAAAAGGGAGGTAACTAGTGGCCAGAGGAAGACAACGTTTGGTGTAGATGTCCCTGCCATTTTTTTAATTCACTTGTTTCCTCCCCCAAAAGTAGAGAAGTCAGGCATTCCCACCTGGGTCCTGGAAAAACTGTTCTCACTCTTCCATCTCCCCAGCCGTGGGCCTCCTCTGGCTACGGAAACTTAGATTATTTTTTGGAGGTGGAGACACCAAGCCACACCACACTTGTCCTCCTTCCTCCCTTCCCACGACAGATCGTTAAATTATTCCAGGGGAGCCAGAGCTCTGAGGCTAAATTACCACAACGGCCGTATCATGGCAACTGTACCTGTCTGTGCTTCTGCAGCTGCAGCTACCGAGAAACTCGCTCGAGAAAAGCCATTATCGGGGCTGGGTGGGGAATCCAAGACAGTGCGTGTTCCAGAACTCCCTCCTGCCTCCTCAGACCCATTAGAGCAGCGCCCCAGTTCAGGCAAGCCTTGCGTGTGTAAGGAAGCAAATTGAGGGGATGATGGTGTTCAGGATGTGATGTGGGTACTGATGTTCACAGCCCAAAACTCACCCGCGTTTGCAGACTAAGGGACATTTGATGACAGCAGTGTTTTTAGGAAGGGGGCAAGGCAGAGAGAGCCTCTTTCTGTCTACGTTCCTGATGTTTGCCCTCATTTATTCATTTCTTGAGTTATTGAGCACATGAGAGGGTCATGGGGGATGTGTTTTTGGCCAAGACCAGTAAGGCCCCTGCAGTCACAGAGCTAAGGTACAGGTGGGAAAACGGAACAGTAAATTAGGGGGCATCAGAGAGTGGTCACGTGACGCAGGCTTGTTATGGGGCGATGGGGTTGAGGGAGCCTGGGAGTGTAGCTCAGTGGGCAGGGAAGGTTTCCCTGGAAAGGTGTCTCTGACGGGAGGCTAGCAGAGACCAAGGCAGGGGGAGTGTCAGGTGCCCCAGCCCTGAGTAAGTAGGGCTGTAGCCCAGAGTCTCGCCGTTCGCAGCTGTGACATCACTCTGCTTCCCCTGAGACCGAAGCCACTTGAAATATGACCCTCATGCAGAAAAATGTTTACGACAAGGCTCACAGAACAAGAGCTGTCGTACCTGTCAGGATCTCAGCTAGAAACAGAATTCATGTCGCTGTGTTCATTACTTACCGAATGGATCTTTACAGATGTAGGCAGGATCATGGAACCCACGAGGAACCAGTGAGGGTAGGGGAGGTACTCAGCATGCCCAGAGACCAACCACAGCAAACAGAATCTGTCACTTCAGGGGGTATCAGAGCAAATAAAACGACAGGATTCCCCATTTAATTTGAATTTTAGATAAAATTTTTTAAGTGGTTTTTTTGTTTTGTTTTGTTTTGTTTTTTTGGGCATAAGTATGTCCCATACAGTACTTGGATGTACATGCAATACCTATTTGTTCTTTTTCTGGAATTTATACTTAAGTGGGCCTTCTTCATTTTATCTAGTGGCCTTCATCACCACCCCCGGGACCAGAGTGACGGGCTTTGGGGAGACAGTCAGAACCACCACTGAGCACAGAGGAGGGGCTGCCCGGGGAGCTGTCATTTTGTAGGGCAGAGCTGCTGCCAGAGAAGGGGCTTCTAAGCAAGAAGGCACCAGGAAGAAATGCCTCAGCCCCTCTCTGCTCACCCTCTGCCTGCCCACCAGGAGTCACAGTACTGCCCTCCATTGGGCATCTGGGAAAAGGACAAATGGAGCCATGTACAAGCTGGGGTGGAGGAGGGTGCTATTTGTGCCAGGAGACTTAGGCTAAGGAGGGTTCCTGCAATGGAATGCTGGATGTAGCCCGAGCTCCCCAGCAGCCTAGGGAGGAAGGGAAGCAAGTGATTCTCCTGGGCATTATGGATACAGGGATCAAGGCAGAACAGTGTTTTGTATGCACTAAGCTCTTAGGAGGAAGGAATGGGTGAGCCATCCAGCCATGGTGGAAGCGGGGCGTAGGAGGAAGGAATGGACAAGCCATCCAGCCATGGGGCCTAGGAGGAAGGAATGGGCAAGTCATCCAGCCCTGGTGGGAGGGGCTAGTGTTTGAAGTGTCAGTGGGTTTTCTTTTTCCCCTTAAAAAAAGAAAAGTCCATATATATATATATATATAAAATGTATGTATGATCATTTTTACAGAAAAGAGTATGGAAAAATGCTAAATGTCTATCTTAATTTGTTCTCTCCAAACCAGAAGACCTTAGGTACAGATGACCCCAGGGAGCTGGGACAGCAGGACAGACAGGGAAGGGACAGGTCCATATATAGGTGTGTCATTGCAGCCACTGCAATGAACATAACATGCAAGAAATGTACAGAATGTGGTCCAGAATTGCCCACTGGTGTCCTGTGCCCTGGTGGACCCCACAGAGGACTGCCCCAGGCTTTCACTTTCCTTCCCCATGGATTGAGCAAGCTCCCAGGGCAGGATGGGTGGCCAGGAGGGGCAGAACGCTGGCGGGGACGGGGAAGCCAAGTGCTCACAGGACCATCCACCACAGCTGCAGCCACACTGCAAGACGGCGGGGATGGGACACACGGTCTAGTTCTTAGTTCTGCCTCCTACAGGCAGCCCCTGCTGTCACTCCAGAACTAATTCTCTGTGTGCCACTCACTCGCGTGTGTGACACACAACAGATACACATACATAGACACATACGTACATCTCCTCCCCCAATCTCACCCTCTCACCACCCCCCCCTTTTTTTTTTTTTTTTTCAATTCTTTGGCACCTGGCTTTTTTTCTTTTCACTCAGTTGCATGCCTTGGCTATGGTCCAGTTTAGGGAACAGTTTTCTAATGGGCCTCCGCATAGGTGACCTTGGGCGGCTTTCCTGCCATCCCCGTGCTATGGGACGTTTGCTGAGTGAGGGTGTGTGTGTGTGTGTGTGTGTGTGTGTGTGTGTGTGTGTCAGGGAGAATGGATGTACCTCTTTCTTCTGGGCCCCATGTCTTGCCACTCTCAGGGCAGGGTGGTAAGGTGGCTTGTCCCTTCTCCTGGTCACTTGCAGAAAAGAACCCGCTTGGGGCCTGCGATGGCCGATGCCAGGTTCAGCTGTCTGCAGTGGCAGGATCCCTGGAAACTTATCCATCATTAAGGCCCCCTCAGGTAAATGACACATTGGGAGGCAGAGGTGGAGAGGCCTAATGAGGCTTTGTGCTAACCTCCCTAATTACCAATTGACTTGATCTTCTCACGGCTTCTAATAAGTGCCCCCTGTAAGTACCTGATTAAGGAAAACAAATAGGGAGTGAGGAGGTCAAGACACCGGGTGTTTAGGGTGACATGATGAGGACACAGTGGCAGAGAGGGGCCCTGGGCTGGGGATACAGTGGTGATGTGATGCCTAAGGATGGAGTGGGGTTTGGATGGGGAGGAGATGAGTTGAGAACAAGGGTCGTCGATGTTTCTGTAAAGGGCCAGAGAGTAAATACCCTAGCTTCATGGGCCATGTGATTTCTGTCTCAGATCTTCAGCTCTGCTGTAACTTGAAAGCAGCCGTAGACGAGACATAAGAGAATAAGAGTAGCCGTGTTCTAGTAAAATTGTATTTACCCCAAATATTTAGTAGGCCAGATTCTGCCGGTAGGCCATGGTTTATTGAGCCCTTGTCGAAAAGAACCAGTCATTTTTTTCCTTTTTTCCTCTGTATCATTTAAAATGGTAATTGCTGTCCCAGTGGACATTAGAGAGCAGGAGCTGGGCCTCACTCGCCCATCCGTTCTGAACATAGTAGGTGCCTGCACATAGTAGGTGATTTGTAACTGAGTAGAGAACCAAACCCAACTTGGATTCTGAAGACCAGTCTACATGAGCTCTCATCCTGGGGCTGCTGTTCTTGCAGCTACTGTCCTTTTGCATTTCTCTTGCTTTCGTTGCTGCCTGCTCATACCCATCCTGATCTTCCCTTCAGCACTTCCTTTTTGAGGCCTGTTTTAGTCAGGAGGGACTAGATGCATTGCAGTAACAACTTAGCCTCAAACTTCAGTAGCTTACCTTAGCTACAGTGTATGGACGCATCCAGGAGGCTCTGCTCCACATAGTCACTCAGGCCCCCAGGTTTCACCATGGCCGGGGAGAAGACAGCTGCAGCCCCACACTCAGGCCTCTGCTCACACCTCATGGGCCAGATCTGGCCACAGGGCTCCCCCTAACTCCACCTCCCTGTAGGGTCTGGGAGGGGTAGTGGGGGCCATAGATACTTGGCAAGCAGGTAATGCTTCTTCTGTGGTAACGGGACCCCCCCGCAATGTACTGTCAGTAAAAGTTCCTGGGACAGCACAGTTCCAACCTGTGGGTCTTTGTGGTTCACGGTCATCAGTGGTCACTGGTGTATCAGAGGAGGTCCTCTCCCTGACGGAAACCTTGTTTCAAGTAAAATCACCTCCACACCCTAGAGAAGCTTCCCTGTCTTGATTTGCAGAGAGTGAGACAAGCCACGCATCCTTGTGGCTGCAGGGGCAGCCCAGTGGGGGCATGGGACCTTGGTGGGCTCCAAGTGCCATCTCTGTGGCTTGATATTTTGCACCTAGGCAGGGGCAAGCACCTTCCCTTTCCTCATGTGTAAAGTGGGATTTCAGTCCTGGCCCTTCACTGGCTCCGAGGACACAGGTGTCAGAACACTCTGGAGGGAGGGTTATTCTTAAACTGCCCCACATGTAATCCCAAAGTTCATCCTGTCATTCACTCATTTAATTTGTCCATTTTACTTCTTTTTTCTTACATTTTTTATTGTATTATTACTATTTTTTTTTGGAGACAGGGTCTCACTGTCACCTAGGCTGTAGTGCAGTGGCACGATCTCAGCTCACTGTAGCTCTAACCTCCTGGGCTCAAGCATTCCTCCTACCTCAGCCCCTACGGTATCTGGGAACACAGGCACACACCACCACACCCAGCTTATTTTTGTATTTTTGGTACAGACGGGGTTTCACCATGTTGCCCAGGCTGGTCACAAACTCCTGAGCTCAAATGATCCTCCCACCTCAGCCTCCCAAAGTGCTGGGATTACAAGCATAAGCCACCATGCTCAACCCCATTTTACTTCTTCTTGAATACTCACTATGGGCCCAGCTCTGTGTTCATTGCCATAGATTTATTATCTGTTTTAAGCCTTAACACAACTGTTGAGCATGGAGACCATTGTCCCCATTTCACAGATGGGCAAGCCGAGGCCAAGTGGAGGAGAGAGGCTTATAAGCACTGGAGGCAGCTGGACTCCCAGGTTCACACTCATGACCCCCACCTCCCAGCTATGCCTCTAGACTTACCTTCTTCCCAGTGTGGGTGGCAGCCACTCCCAGCATAGGTTGCAGATTCTGCCCTGCAGTTGCGGGAGCAGCCCCCCACCCAGATATAGGAAACACAACATCTGATCCAGACAGAATTTCTGTTTAATGCGGGACTTGAATCCAGTCAGAGAATCCTAGTCTGGTTTTAATTATTTCCCACCTTGCCCCATGAGGGTGTGAAAACCTTTGATTATTTTTCCTCTAACAATAAATTCCCCACCCCACACCCACCCCAAGGCACACGTCACCACAGGCCTGCTGGAATAGTCACTGTGCCTCAGAAAAAGCTGTGACCACACTTCCCCATCTTCCAAATGGAATGGAGGAGGAGGAAGTGAGGACAGGGGAGGTGTGGCCGAGATTCACACAAACGGCCCCTCTCCTGTGTGTGCACAGAGAGGCAGCTGGGAGATGAAGCACATCCTGGGCTTTGTGCGTCGCCAGAGACACGATCATTGACTTTTCCCTCTGCGTGAACTTTGCAAATGACGCTCTTTAACGCACTTGTGAGATAAACAGTGGCTGTTGCAAGGGGCCTCCTGACCATTGATTTTTCTCGTCTTTCTCTTCACTTCTGCCTCAGGCTCCTTGGTTTTGCTACACCCCAAATCCTATCTGGTCCTAACTGGGTTTCTTATTAAGAAAAGAGACTCCCACCTACATACACCAAGATGTCCAAGGGCTGTCCCGACTTGGGCTGTCACATTTGCGTGCTCTGACTCACATGTTCTGCCTTTTCCTATCACCACCAGGAACCAGCCTTCCAGAGTCCATTCCTCTCGGTCCTGGACTCCAGGCCACGCACAGACCCGATTAGACCTCTTGGGCTCTCAGCTTCTGACTCACCATCCAATTCTAAACTTTTGTAATTGAATCGAGTTCTTTGTTGGTTTATTTGGCCTCAAACAAATGGTCCAACTCGCAGATTCATTTCAACCCTTCCCTGCATCTTAAAACTCACCAGTCATCCTGAGCTCGGCTTGTTTTATTGTTGTTTTCTTTCCCAGACTTTTAAAAATAATATTTGTCCCAGCAGGGTGATTCGTTCTCCTCCCCATGAGCACTGGCAGGCTCTGCGGCATGAATCACTCGCTCCCGTGCTCCCTGTCCCCTGACATGTCCCTGGGAGGCCTCCAACGCTTTCTGTCGAACGGTCCGCACCGTGGCTTCGCCGCTTGCATCTTCTGCAGAGGTGTCTTGGCTGTCATCTCCTGGTTGACAGTAGGCCTGGCTTTCTTGAGAAGCTCAGATGTTGAAGCTACTCAATTACCTGAAGTACACCCCAATCTGTACCCCACTGGTCTGGAAAAGTGGTCCCCTCATGGCTGTGACCTCTTGGTCTGGGACTTCCCAGGGAGACTCAGTGACCATGCCCGCTCCCTCTTTTCAGCCGTTGTGTAGGGCCATTTGGATGCTTTGGCCTTTTGCCAAGAGGATGGGGAGCATCTGAACTGGGCTTTCCAACATCATGGGGGTTCTGGAGTGTTCCTCCTCATGGCAGGTGTCAGAAACCTCTAGAATGCTAGCTCTTCAGAAGCCGCCTTCCCTATCCATCATCATCTCCTCAGCCTCTTTTTCCACTTCTGCCATCATTTCCCAGTGGCTGGCGGGCTCCAGCTAGAACATAAGGACTGAGTTCAAGGGCTGAAGCTGGTTACTGTCCCCAGGGTGGGGCACAGTGTGCCAAAGCAAAATCCACAGTCAGACAGACCCACACGCAAGTCCTGTGACCTCAGATAAGACCTCCCCTCGAGGTCTCACATGCGTCCTGGGAGGCCTGCCGCCCAGTGGGTCTGCTCTGGGCCTAAAGGGAGGCAGCGCGTGTAGAGCATTTGGCATGGCCAGGGCAGGTGCTCAGCAAGTGCCGCTTCCTCCCACTCCCCGTTTCTTATTTCAGGTATTGAGAGCCCGATCATGAGAGGGGCCAGAAATCAGAAAATCCAGGAAAAGACAAGCATCCATTAATAACTCCATTCATCAGCACTCCACAGACACTTTTTAGTGGGCACCTACTGTGTGCCAGGTGCTGTTGGAACTGTTCTGGGTGCCGGCCATTCAGTAGTTAGCAAGGAAGACCAACCATAAACAAATAGAGGGGAAAAAATGTGCAATAGAATGCAAAGTCCCATAACATCGAGGTGACAAATGAAGCAGGGTGACAGCAAATGCTAGTCGTGTGCAGACAAGCAGCCTGGGTCGGAGCACCTTTGAGGTGGCACCCTCCACCTTGCTGCTGTTCTCTGTTTCCATTTAGCAGGGCGGTGACTGGGTTTCTAGGTTCATCTGTTTGTCTCTGTGCTAAGCAGGTCTCCAGGGTGATGGCGAGATATCTGGCTCTTGGCCCTCTGGGGCACAGCACTCCCCACTTGGTCCAGACACGTGTAACTCAGCTCATCACCCGCACCATGCGTCTCATTTCTCCCATCACTGAACAATGAGGGGTTTCCCCAGTAAGTGACTTTGCCACCTTATACCTTTAAGTATCAGCCCTCTGAAAATGTTGACCATTCAGTGGAAATCTTCCTAAAATACACAGTGCCTTTTCTTTTTTTTTTTTTTTTTTAATTTATTTTTTTATTGATAATTCTTGGGTGTTTCTCACAGAGGGGGATTTGGCAGGGTCATGGGACAATAGTGGAGGGAAGGTCAGCAGATAAACAAGTGAACAAAGGTCTCTGGTTTTCCTAGGCAGAGGACCCTGCGGCCTTCCGCAGTGTTTGTGTCCCTGATTACTTGAGATTAGGGATTGGTGATGACTCTTAACGAGCATGCTGCCTTCAAGCATCTGTTTAACAAAGCACATCTTGCACCGCCCTTAATCCATTTAACCCTGAGTGGACACAGCACATGTTTCAGAGAGCACAGGGTTGGGGGTAAGGTCACAGATCAACAGGATCCCAAGGCAGAGGAATTTTTCTTAGTGCAGAACAAAATGAAAAGTCTCCCATGTCTACTTCTTTCTACACAGACACGGCAACCATCCGATTTCTCAATCTTTTCCCCACCTTTCCCGCCTTTCTATTCCACAAAGCCGCCATTGTCATCCTGGCCCGTTCTCAATGAGCTGTTGGGTACACCTCCCAGACGGGGTGGTGGCCGGGCAGAGGGGCTCCTCACTTCCCAGTAGGGGCGGCCGGGCAGAGGCGCCCCTCACCTCCCGGACGGGGCGGCTGGCCGGGCGGGGGGCTGACCCCCCAACCTCCCTCCCGGACGGGGCGGCTGGCCGGGCAGAGGGGCTCCTCACTTCCCAGTAGGGGCGGCCGGGCAGAGGCGCCCCTCACCTCCCGGACGGGGCGGCTGGCCGGGCGGGGGGGCTGACCCCCCCCACCTCCCTCCCGGACGGGGCGGCTGGCCGGGCGGGGGGCTGACCCCCCCACCTCCCTCCCGGACGGGGCGGCTGGCCGGGCAGAGGGGCTCCTCACTTCCCAGTAGGGGCGGCCGGGCAGAGGCGCCCCTCACCTCCCGGACGGGGCGGCTGGCCGGGCGGGGGGGCTGACCCCCCCCCACCTCCCTCCCGGACGGGGCGGCTGGCCGGGCGGGGGGCTGACCCCCCACCTCCCTCCCGGACGGGGCGGCTGGCCGGGCAGAGGGGCTCCTCACTTCCCAGTAGGGGCGGCCGGGCAGAGGCGCCCTTCACCTCCCGGACGGGGCGGCTGGCCGGGCAGGGGGGCTGACCCCCCCCCACCTCCCTCCCGGACGGGGCGGCTGGCCGGGCGGGGGGCCGACACCCCCACCTCCCTCCCGGATGGGGCGGCTGGCCGGGCAGAGGGGCTCCCCACCTCCCAGTAGGGGCGGCCGAGCAGAGGCGCCCCTCACCTCCCAGACGGGGCGGCTGGCCGGGCGGAGGGCTGACCCCCCCACCTCCCTCCCGGACGGGGTGGCTGCCGGGCAGAGAGGCTCCTCACTTCTCAGACGGGGCGGCTGCCGGGCGGAGGGGCTCCTCACTTCTCAGACGGGGTGGTTGCCAGGCAGAGGGTCTCCTCACTTCTCAGACGGGGCGGCCAGGCAGAGACGCTCCTCACCTCCCAGACAGGGTCTCGGCCGGGCAGAGGCGCTCCTCACATCCCAGATGGGGCGGCAGGGCAGAGGCGCTCCCCACATCTCAGACGATGGGCGGCCGGGCAGAGACGCTCCTCACTTCCTAGATGTGATGGCGGCTGGGAAGAGGCGCTCCTCACTTCCTAGATGGGATGGCGGCTGGGCGGAGACGCTCCTCACTTTCCAGACTGGGCAGCCAGGCAGAGGGGCTCCTCACATCCCAGACGATGGGCGGCCAGGCAGAGACACTCCTCACTTCCCAGACGGGGTGGCAGCCGGGCAGAGGCTGCAATCTCGGCACTTTGGGAGGCCAAGGCAGGCGGCTGCTCCTTGCCCTCCGGCCCCGCGGGGCCCGTCCGCTCCTCCAGCCGCTGCCTCCCGGGCGGCGCTCGCCGGCGCGGCGGCAAAGACTGAGACACAGTGCCTTTTCTAACCAGTGCAAGGAATCCTGAGCCCAGGCCACAGTCTGGGGACACTGGTCAGATCTGTTGAGGTGTGTCTGCTGTTTGCCCCTGTCCTAAATAGCCCCAGACTGCTGTGCTTTTCCAGTGGTTTTAATATCATGTTTTGATACTTTTTGTGTAATCAAGGGATCAAAAAACTAAAGCCTACGTCCCCGTCGTCCGTTTTGGTAAATAAAGTTTCACTGGCACCTAGCCATACCCACTCATTTACATATCATCAGGGGCCGCTTTCACGCTACAGAGCAGAGTAGAGTAGTCGCAAAGCTAAAATTATTGACTGTCTGACCCTTTATAGAAAAAATGTGTGCATCCCTGGTCTAATTCGTGGCTGCTAGTTGTCACTTCTGGAAGTCTTTTAGGAACCTGCCACTATTAATCCCAGTGCCCTTTTCAACTCCTCTGGGATGAGAAATTAAATAAACGAGTTTGTTTCTAAAATAAAAGTAAATAGGCTTTCAGTGGCTGGGCCACGGGGCAGGGCCAAGGGCTTTCCCATAGGTGACAGGCAGAAGCTTAGTATGTGGGTTTCAGGCATCATTTTGTTTGCCAGGGGCTCTTTTCTTTATTTTGGCTTCTCTGGAGTCTTGAGGAGTGCGTGACAACATCTCCTTGTGCAGGCTGTAGTAGTCACATAGCCTTAACATCATGTGACTTGCTTTGCTCTAAGCTTCTTGTTCCCTGAGTCTCTGTGCTGGCCCCTAAATGGTGGCATTGCCTCACATTCCATTTGTGCCCTGCAAGAGGAATCTGGTTCACTGAACCATATGCAGGGGCCTCCTGCTGCCATTGGAGGGCCCCTGTCATAGAGATGCCCTCTGGAAACCATGTAGATGTGTCTGGATGTTGAGGTGTGTCACCTTGTGCTTCTCAGAGAGGTCAGCACCCTGATAGTCACAAACTGCTATGTCACGAATCTCAAATCTCCCTGGGATGTCTTCCTCTTGACCAGTAAGCAGAAGCCGGTGTTGGTGGCTATGGGCTGCTGCTTGGTGCTGTTAGTGCGGAGACGATACATGGAGAGTTTTCTAATTTCCTAGGGACTGGAACTTTCTACCTACCCACCTGTGCCCCTCCCTTGATCCCTGCAAAACCCTGCAAAACCCTGCAACCTCAGTGGACATTCTCCCTGTATTTGTAAGATCTTGTTGCTCTGCTTTTCCATTGATAGCCCCCTTATTCTCATCACCTGCCCTCCTTGTTCTCTAAGTAGGAGGATCCAGGTCTTTGGAAGATTCCTGCCTTAGGTTGAGGAGTCAAAACAGACTGGGAGAGCAGCACAGTACAGGACTGGTGCAAGGCAACCCGAGGCCATCTGGATTCATGCTCTGCAGACCACATTAGGGTTCTGAGCATTGAAATGGATCTTAACCAAATAAATTGATAGGGCCCTTTCAGTGTCTGTAGGAGACGTGGCAGGCGAAGGAGTGGGCACAGAGTGGAGATAGCAGGTGCTGCGAAGTTGAGCGGCCACCCTGAATCCAGCCTTTTCAGGAGGCGTGGCCATCAGCAGGCAGCAGGCAGCAGGAGTGGGTGTGAGCCGGCGACACAGTGTGTCTTCCTGCTTGCCATCGCCTGCTCACTCTGAAACAGTAGATCCAGCTCCCTGCTCTGTTTTACAAGAGAGCTCACCCCATCTTCTCCTCCTGCCTCATCACTAACTTGGTTTCCACCCTCAGCCTTCCAGGATCCTGGAACTTCATCTTCATGGCAACCCCAGGGGTAGTTAAATCCAGTACCAGAGGTTTCTAGATTTGGTGTTGACGTGGAGCAGCCCTGGGAGCCCAGGAGTTCACCCCATAGTGGCTTTTCTTAGAGTGGCAGCAGAAATGGGCAAAACAAAGGGTGTCAAGTTAGGCACAATGTTCACCACAGCTGGTGACTTCCTGGATTCTCTTCATCTCCTCTTGGAGTTTCTGGAGTTACCTTGGAGATATCAGGCCTGATGGAGATAATAGCAAAAAGCAAGATATGCGGCTGATTAATTCTTGAACCATTTTTAAGATAACAAGCAAACGGCTGGGTTTTTTTTTTCCTCTTTAATTTTTGTCCTTCCTCTTTTCACATTTCGTGTACTGAGGATAACGACACCAAAGGGTGTTAAATTGGTTCTGAATGTCCACCTCTGGCTGGCCACATTTTAGTAACGATTTCATTAGCCTGAATTATCCACTTTATTTTCTTGTAATGGGATTAGCTGTACTTGAGGCAGCTGAAGACTAGAGGGGGAGAAAGTGGGGGAGAGCATCCACTGTGTGTTTCATTAACTCACTCAGGCAGAGGGGTGGAACTGACCAGAATGCAGTACCCCAGGCCAGAAATCGTGCCTCCATCCTCTCCTGAGAGGAGGAGCATGCACAGCTATCCCAAGGGCTTGCCCTGCCCAAGGGATGGCAGAGGTGCCTGGGTCTGGCTGAGAGATGCCTCCTTGGGGACAATTTCTTCCAATTATCCATGTGGATAAGAGGGAGATCCACTGCTTCTTCAGAGTTCCACGAATCACAGAATCACATCTGGCCTCTTTTGCTTAGGCCCCTTTGCCATCTCAGGTCTTTTCTGGGAACTCCTGATGTTCACTAGGAGGGGTCGGACTCTCAGCCAGTTCCTCGCTTTGACCCAAAATACCATAAGGGCTTAGGAGGGGTCACCTGCTTGGCACCAATATAGATCCTTTTCACAGATAAGCACATTACTCACAACAGTTCCCATTTCTTCAGTTCCTGATACATGCCAGGAACCTGGATTCAACGACATTGTGTGGGCTGGGGGACGTTGGTTGGAGCCCATTTTATAGGTGACAAAACTGAGCCTCAGAAAGGTGGTGGCAGGTGCCGGGCTGGGATCTGAACCAAAGTCTGGCTCCGCACTTAGGTTCTTTTGGTGATGCTGTGATTCAGCCCCTCACTGTCAGAGCTAGACTTCCTCTGCAGAAGCTCCCTGCTGTATACAGTCCCTGGTGAGTTAGAAGTGTTACCTGAATGTTAGTTAAAGACCAAGGCCTTGTGCCTTAATGTGTATGTTCGGCCCTTCTGAAGTGACTGCCTTCTTCTCCTCTCCCATATCGTACCTCCCAGCTGTATTCCATGGAATACCAGTGTCCTGAGAGATGCTAATAGCTTTCCTTGTTTGGGAGTTTGAGAAACACTATGTCTTTTCCTTTCCCAGAGAAATCCTCCATGCACCTAACATCTTAAAGGCACTGTCAAGGTCTGCAGCAGAAAAGCTTGCTGAACTCTGTTTAAATAGATGTCTCCCAAACTTACCAAATCCCAGAAGACTTTAAACATAGAATATCTATCAATATCTTTCAGGACAAGTTCAAGAAACACTGTTTTAAAAAAGTTATCTCTGATTTTTAAAACTCTATTTTTATGAAATTCTCTGCCCGAGGACTCTATTCAGGTTCAGCAGACAGGGTTCCCCCTTCAGTTGCTTCTAAACTGTACGCACAGATCTACCCCGTCTACTGTGAGGCAACAGGTAAGGAGAGCATAGGCTTTGGGGTTTCATCAGGCTTTGGTGTGAGACCTGTCTCACCATTTAATAGCTTTGTACATTTTGGTAAATACCTTAAGCAGCCAGAGACTCATTTTTCCTGTATGTAAAATGGCCACACAGCTGCCCCACAGAGTTACTGAGGACGCATAAGAGTAATACATGGACTATATTTAGCACAATGCCTGGCCTGCTGTGTGCTCTTAAATAAAGGGTGTGACTACCGAAGGTGCCTGCGATGGAACAGGAGAAAAAATACTAGAATGTCCATTTCTACTTAGGTTTTATTTCATCCTTCTACATTTCCTATTTATTTATTTATTTATTTATTCAGACAAGAGTCTCACTCTCAACCAGGCTAGAGTGCAGTGGTGCAATCTCGGCTCTCTGTAATCTCCACCTTCCGGGTTCAAGCAGTTCTCCTGCCTCAGCCTCCCCACTAGCTGGGCTGTTTACAGGTGTACGCCACCATGCCTGGCTAATTTTTGTTTTGTGTTTTTAGTAGAAATGGGGCTTCACCATGTTGGCCAGGGCAGTCTAGTACTCCTAACCCCAAGTTATTCACCCACCTTGGGCTCCCAGAGTGCTAGGATTACAGGTGTGAGCCACCGTAGCTGGCCTTAAATTTCCTAATTTTTATTTAAAGATTTACAAAGAGAATGAAATAGCAGTACATATGCATATTATTTATCAGTTTTAAACTGTACATATATTGGAGATGCATGCTGAAAACTATTTTGCTGAGAGTGTGCACCAACCCTGGGTTGGAGGGGATTGAAAACCACCGGCTTAAAATCCACGCCCCCTGGAGGCCGGAGCACATCAGGTCCACATTTCTTTCCCAGCCCAGAGCTTGGTGCCTGCACAGAGGATATGCTTGGGAAATATTTGCCTGGTGATGATTGCAGGATCCATAGTATCTGAATGATGAGTCCCATGAAAATTCCTACCAAGCTTCAAATTGTGATTTCGGTGCTGGAGATTGGCGAGGGATGATTCAATTCATTCATTAAGTGTAGCCACAAATGTGTTCACATCTGAGGTAGATGCTGTGCAGCAAATTGCCATGGCAAGACCCTCTCTGTCCCCAAGGAGCTTAGAATCCTGCAGAGGCTACATGATGTGAACACAACTGAGAGGGCTGGTAGGCTGCAGGGGCCAAAGGAGAGGTCAGAAAGACCCTGTTGCTTGTCCCAAGACCTAACCCCAGGTCATAAGGAGGTAAGAGGATTCCTTATTTAGGGATATAGACCAGCTCTTATGATCTCTTGAAACCAAAATCAGAATGGAGCCCAAATGTAGGACGTGGTACCCAAGGCAGCCCACAGACTCCTTCTGTTGTTTTTGGCAACACGGTGTCTTGACTTTGTTACCAATATTTTAAAATCTCATTTCTTAAAATAATCTGGACCACTAGCTTCTTTGGAAGAAGGGGAAGATCTGCTAGTCCTGGGCCCAGATGTCCACCTGGCTATCTAGCTTGGGGCTGAGTGGCCCCTGTCCCTTCCAGTGGGGCAGTGGACCTCAACCCTGAGCAGGCCCACACTCACCTAGAGGGCTTGGTGCAGCCCCTGAGCTGATCCAGAAAGACAAGAGGAGGGCAGAACATTGCATTTTTGACAAGCTCCCTGGTGATGCTGATGCTACCAGTCCAGGTATCAGTCCAGGCTGGAAATGATTTGCCCAGGTTCACCCAGTTGGTGAGGGCAGAGCCAGGCCAGGAGCCTACTTTTTGCATGCCAAATCCGCCCCATCCAGAGCCTCTCAGGAGAGTCTGTGGGTTCCATCTGAAACGCAGGCCCTGACTCTGATTTAGAAATACCATTTAAGTGCTCATCCCTGGGATTTCTCATCTAGAAAATGAGAGAGGGTCATGCTTGCCTGGAAAGGACCCCAAGGAAACGCTATTGAGAAAAGCTAAAGGCCCTCCTCCACACCTCTTTTTTTCACTTTCTTGGAATCTAGGCCATTTTTCAGCCTCCAGGAGGCAAAAATGAAAGGGAATATTGCGTTGATGGTGATAAGGTAACCTTTCTACACCTGGCTCTCACCATGATGAGCAGTAGCTGGAGAAGTTCAGTCTAAAAGGCACTCTAAGAAGGGAGAGCAAGAACAGAAGAGGAAGAAACTCCACTCCTAAATATGCCTCCATTAAATGGCTTCCAAAGCCATTGCCTCTTGTCAGAGCAGGCTTGACCCTGCACTTTGTACACACTCATCAACATAACCTTCTGCGGGAGAGAAAACATCTCAGTGCAGGGCAAACCATGCTGAAACTCCTTATTTGTGTCTGCATCTTGGCCAGGGTTGCCTGTGAAGGAGCCAGTGTCTTCTCGTTCCCACCAAGCAGCACATGATTTGAACATCATTATCCAGACAGTATTCCCTTGGTAAATGATCTAGCTGGCCCCCCTGCCCCCTTTTTTTTTTTCTTGCTGTGATGATTCATTGCCTGGAAGGAATAAACATGGATACTTTGGAAAGAGTGTTGATTCTTGAGGACCAAATGCTCCTTGTAATAGCATATGGTTGCACTGCATAAAAGAGCATCATCCTATGGGACAGAAAGACTGAATATGTTGCCCCCAAGTGTGACTATGCTTCCACAAGAACATACAGTTATATGAGATAATGCATGAGAAGTATAGGGACCTGGCACTCGGGGAGATGTCAATAGATGATGAATTCATGATTAAATGAATGGATACAGTGTTTTCTGAGTGCTAGACACAGTCTCAGGTTCTGTAGACACAACAGAGTATAAGAGCCATGACATCTTGGAGTCCACTTTCAGTCTCTAGCAAAATGAGAGGAAAGATAAATAAGTAAACAAGCCATTTCAGACAGTGCTCAGATGTGACAGGCAGGGGTGGGTGTGCAAAGGAGGCAACGTTAGATAGGATGGTCACAGAAGGCCTCTTTGAGGAGGTGGCATTTCAGCTGAGAATTGAATGGCAAGAAAGAGTCAATTGTGAAAACATCTAGGCAAGCAGGGTTCCAGGTGATACAAAAAGCAAGTGCAAAGGCCCTGAGGTAAGCATACGTTTGGTGGGTTCAGGGAATGGGGAAAGCCAGTGTGGATTCTTCATAGTAAATGAGGGGGTGCAGGGCATGAGATAAGATTGGAGAGCAAGAAAAGTATGTCTGATCAGGCACAGCCTTGATTCCCAAGTAAGGAGCTCAGAAATTATTCTAAGGATGCAAAAACCATTAGAGAGTTAAGCAATTTGGAAGAGATGATGACTGGCACATACACACAGAACTCCAGGCAGTAGTGGCCATTGAAACCCACTGTGGGAATGGTGATGACTGACAGATATTCATGAAACTGGGGACAGTAGTAGCCATTGAAACCCACTGTGGGAGTGGCGATGACTAGCACATATTTGTGAAACTTGGGGCACTAGTACCCATTGAAACCCACCAGACTGATTGGATTAGCCTCTGTTAGAGAGTTGGATGAGACAGGCTTGAGACAAGCCCTCACCAAAGGCTTTAGTTTGTATGTATCTCAGGAAAAGTGAGAATTTTAGATGATAGTTCTGTTCCCAAGCCTCCCTCCACTACAGAAATTGCCCATTATAGATGAAGGGATAGGTTTGTTCCTAGCTGTGCAGTTGGTCTATCTCTCCAACTTGCCACAACTGGGGCCCTTGGCCACATGGGAACTCTGTAAGGGAAGAGGAATGTGAGACAGGACACCATGCAAGGCAGCTGCCATCTTACCATATTTCTTGCTCAGTGGGAATGGTTCCATGGGTCCATAAGTTCACTGGTGGGGCCCTTCTTTAGGATGGGGCCAGGGGAGCAGTAAGCAAAGATCAGGCATCCTCAGCTCTATACCTTTATCAGTTGAGATAAGTGGCTTTATCCCATAGTCTTCTTGAGCATCTGAGGAAGAGGGGAGGGAGCTCACTGGCTGCTTCCCAGCTAAGAGGCTTCCCATGCAGCTGCCCCCAATCAAGGTGAGGGCAAGGTTAATACTTGACCTGCTGGTGACTCCCTCCCTGCACTCTGCATCATCTTTGGCTGCTTGTAGATAGGTGGACCAATCGTGTGAGCTCTTAGCAAAGCATAGACCTGTGGGGCACACCGCCTACTTTGAGCCTAGCTAAGCCTGATGCTGCCCATGGAACCTTGGGCAAGTCACTTCGCCTGTTGTGGTAGGTAAGGGCTCACCGAGACCTTGGAGAAATCATGTTCCTTCTTTGAGCCTCAGTTTTCTCCATCTAGGAAATGGGATTGACATTGCTCAGCTCACATGGGCCTTGTGAGTTCATGTCCAGCAGGTGCTAACATGCTGCAGGGCACGTAAGCGCTGAGGAAGTACCCAGTGAATGGACAGATGTGCGTGTATGTGCATCATGTGTGTTAGAAAATTGGTAGGGGTGGCATATTTGAAAGGCTTTTTAATGCCAAGAGATTGAGCTATTTTTTCTTACCTCTAGAAGGAGCAGAAGAAGCTTGTAGTTTATTCTTATCATGAAACCACCCCTTCATCTTGTTCAGATCACACCGTTGTTCTGATTCTGGGTCTCTTAGGTGGCAGCAGACTTTCTTTTCTCAACAATGCCTTGGGTGCAGGTGGGGAGAAGTTATGCCAGCAAACTCCCCCACATGACTCAGCACTTCTGCTGGGATTCTGGTTCTTCCAGCAGATCCGAATAGTGAGGGGGACTTATGTCCTGGGAGCAGAAGGCCCTAGGTTTGACCCCCACTTGGTGCCAGCATGCAGGCTGTGGGGTTAAGCAGGACTCCCAGCCTGCCCAGGCTCCAGGTACCAGCACAGCTGCAAAACTGTCCAGCTCCGCATCTCTGGAGGGTTCTCGCTTCCTCTGCTCCAGCCTTCCTCTCACTTCTTTCCCCCTGAGCCTGTCGCTTCAGTCAGGGAGGGAGAGAGAGACCCAAGATGATTCATCCCTTTTCGGTAGCAGCTGCTGGCCAGGGCTGGGGCAAGACCAGTCAGGGGGCACGCAATTTGCACGGAGAGAGGAAATCCCCACCCACCCATACGCTGGCCCCACACACACACACACACACACACACAGACACACGTATTGTGTCTGCCTTCAGGCCTGTGTGCAAACACGATTTCCATCCCCCGACTTGTTTATGAGTGCTGGGCATAATTGGCTTGCCTCATGCAACACCTCGGAGCCCCATCCCACCTCCTCCCCCCTCCTCCCTTCTCTCCCCCCACCACACACCTCAAAAGAAATTAGAAACGTGACAACAAACTCTAGTTGTGGAAAACCCACAAACCCACCACCAATCATGTTCCTGGCATGGCAGAGGGGGTGGGGCTGCAGGGTGGGGGAGTAATTGGTGAACCCAGGGTGAATGAAATAATTGGAAAAGTGAGGTGTGAGTTTGTTACCGAAGTGTGAGCCTGGTGGGGGAGGGAAGGAGGGCTGTGTTTAAAAGCCCGGTATGTCCTCTTTATTCACAGCTTCTGATACAGTAATTGCTACTTTGTGGTTTCTATTATCTGCACAGTGGGGAGTGTGGTGTGCATCTCCTTCCCCCCGAGCGGCAGAGTTGGGCTCAGGGAGGAGTTCCTGGGTGCCCTGTGATTTTCTTCCTCCCCAGTCCCTGGTGGCCCTGCGCAGCTTCGCCCCAACACTGGCCTCAGCTCCCAGGAGACAAAGGTTCATGCACAACTTCCTTCAAAAGCTGCTCTTAAAAACAGCTTCGTAGACCTTGCTGTCAGATAAGAACCTTAATAATGGCTGGTATTTATATATCGCTTATCTCCAAGGAGCTAAAGGTACTTCATCGATTTCTTCTCCCCCAACCTTTTTTTTTCTTTTTAATTCTCTTTCGATAGCTCTCTGAGATCATTAGTATTGGCCTTATATGATCCCACACCGTTATACAAGCAACCAAGCCACTCACTGTCCAGCTTTGTTCTTGGGCTGGGAGAAGCAGCCCGGATGAGAAAGATCTCGCCTCGATTTTGAGTTCCTGGGGCCATGAGACATGGGCAAGTCGCTTTTCTTCTCCGTCCCTTGGTTTTCCCATCTGTAAAACAGAGGCATGGATATGATGTATTTAAAAGACTGCATATTGCAGGCACTCATTGGTAGCGGAAATGATGGCAGCAATGATGGTGTCTTGAAGCCTCATCCATGCATTTCAGGAAGTGTCCACAGACATCGGGAAGTTCCTTCTAAGATCTAACCCTGATCTTTCAGCTCCTCCTTAAGCTTCAGTTCTCTCATGTCCTGTTCTTAGAAGGAGGAAAGAAACCTGCTCACTGTAGCCATTTCTCTGACTCTGAAGAATAATAGGATTTCTGAAGCTTCTAGAGTCTTTGTGGGTGGCGTTTCATTTGTCATGCTGATGTCTGCCTGGAAACCCCCAACCACAGCTGTGACCTCCCCCAAGGCCCTTCAGCTGCCTGGGATGGGATCCCCAGCTCCCTGATCCCTGCCTACGATCCCTGGTAGATCCAGGGTGCCCTTCTGTCCCAGCTTTCCCTGCTGAACTCTCAAATGCCACTTTTGCAGGCCACAAAAGCATGTCTTCTGTAGCCTCTCCTCAACAGCGTTTTTCTCTACCTTTTAATTATTTTTCTCGCCTTTCTCCGGACCCTTAGCTGCTTACCATGCACAGAGCATCCACAGCTTGCAGTGTGCTGCAGAGAGGGAGGAATTAACCCCAACAGTCTCTTTCTCTCTCTCTCTCTTTCTCTCCTTCTCTCTTTCTCTCTCACACCACCACCCCCCGACCCCTTCTCTCCTTCACACACACACACACACACACACACACACACACACACACAGAGTCTGGCTTACCAGAAATCTGGGCAGAGGTCATTGAGACCATCAAGGGATAGGAGATTATAGCCCTTGTGGGCAGAAGTAGAGGGTTTGCACACAGTGTGGGCAGAAGGAACTGGGACTCGGTCTACCCCCACCTTGCCTGGTGGTCTTAGGGAAGTCACTGGACCCCTGGGAGTCCACACAGGGCATTCCTAGCCACCCCGTATGGGGCCTTCCTGCTTCACCTCAGACCTGGCCGAGACTCGGGAAGAAAGAGGCCCCAGCTCTTGCAAGTGGCCAGTCCCCGTCCAGATGATGCAAGCGGGTTGAGTCATTGTGCAGCAGAAAGAGAGCTTGGGCTTAACGTCAGACATGCCTGGATTCACATTCTAACCCTGTTGCCTGTGAGGAAGGATCCCTGGCTCCCAGAGCCTTGGTTTCTTCATCTGTAACATGGGAATGATAAGGCTAACAATAGTTCACATTTGTGCTATGTGTATTTCATTTCACCCTCATCACCGCCCTCTGAGGGTAGGTGTAATTTACCCGTGGTAATGTCTACCTTCCAGGGCTACCATTTGCTTGTTTATTCGTTCCAAAACACCTTCAGGCTTCTACCCTGAGCCCGACTCCTGGGCTCACTGACACAGGTCCAGTGATGAGCAAGATAGATGGGGCCTGGACTCTTGCGGAGCTGAGCCCTAGCCCTGGCCAGGGAAGGCATGCACCCCACAGAGCCCTGGTCAGGGGGCACAGTGAGCGGTGACACTGTGGATGGGGGCAGTCACCCCAGCCTCCAGGGGTCAGGAAAGACATCTCGGGGCTAGTGCAGTTAGGTGAGGCCAAGGCACGGACAGAGGAACCAGCTCACCCAGTGGCTGTCTATGGCCGTGTTGAGAAAGCACCCAGCCTGGTCTTCCATGTGCCTCTCAGTTGCCTCATACCAGCTCTGAACGCTCTCAGGCTCCAGCCCCTTAGCTGCCGGATGTGCCATCCCTGTAGTCCCAGTGGGCTTCTGAAGACTTGGACCCAAAGAACCATTCATCTGAACGAGCTTACAAGAAAATTTGTCCACGCCCTTCCCTCCCTGTTCAAAGCCAGCATGGCAGAGGGGCTTTGGTGGAGGGAAGAGAGACTGTGTCTGTCATGGGATGCATCCGCCTTTAGGTGGCAGAATGAAGTAGGGTTTGTGGGCTTGACTCCTCAGCTCTCCAACCTCACCTTGTCCCCACCTGCCCAGCCTCTGGTCCCCAGCCCTGGCCCCCCTCCAGCAGGGAAACCTGACCGGGCTCCACTCCCCACGTTCCTGGCTCCTTCCCCTCCCCGGGAGGCTGGCCTTGTCACCAGTGCCTCTCTGCCGTTTCTCGTTGCCTGCACAGAGGAGGCACCAGGAGGGGGGAGCAGAGCTGCTGGGGAGAGCTCCGAGGAGACGTGCAGATTCATTTTGAGGATTCATAATGCCGCATTTACACACTGTCCTGCCTTCAGAAATTGGGCTGGCAGATGCCTGGTCATGCTGGCAGGGCTGTGGGTTAACACTTCGGATTTAGCTTATATCATTTCACGAGAGCTTACGGCCTTTACTGTGTTTTTTACCCAATCAGTCTTTGGCCCCGAAGCATCCTAGACCATCGTGCATATGTGTGTGTGCCCAGGCAGCCGCAAGTGTGTGTAGATTTTCAAATAAAATAATACCTCTCTTCAGATGCCGTGCACATTAAATATTTATCGGTAGCAATTTGTGCATATATATTTGATAAATGGACATTAGAAAGGGATTGGGAGGTGGGAAGTGAGACAGGGAGGCAAGGGAGGCCTGAGAAAGCCCTATCCCTTTGTCCTACAATTTCTCAAAGGTTTAACCTGGAGGAGAGGAGAGAAGGGAACCGGGGGGGATGGTCCAAGGCCGTGGTTACCAGTTTGATCCCTATCAGGAGGAGCCAAGCCATTTTCTTCTCCAGAGCTTTGCCTGACTTTGGCTTAGAAGATATCGAAATGAAAGCTCACAGGGAGGGGAAGCAGGGTTTAAAGGGAGTAGCTGCGTATCATTTGAGCGCTGAAGAAATACATGTCCCAGGTCCCAGGTCCAGGAGAAAGGGCCCCATCCCATTTGCTCAGCCTGGGGTCGCCATGTGCTCAGCTCAGACATACAGGCAGTTTGGAAAGGTCAGGCAACCCTGCTGATCACATGTCCAGAGCCCCTACTAGCACACATGGGCAGCCCCTTGCCCTGGCCAGGCCCCTCAACCGGAGCCTGGCTGCTTGTGTACTAGGCAGGGTCCTCCCCAGTGCATAGTTACCCCACAGGGAAGTGGGGCCCCATGGGGGCAGGGAGTCTCTAGCTGGTTGCAGAGGAACTAAAAATTCTCCATTCACATCTCCAGCCTGATTGTTCCCTCCCTGCCCTGCCTGATGGCCCGGGCCTGGGAGGAGAAGGCTGCTCATGCCCCTGAGCTGACATGTGTGAGCGTGTGTGTGCCTGCATGCACTTGTCTTTTATAACCCAAAGGGATTTACATGTGAGAATCAGTCCTGCCTTCCCGACCTCCCTTGCGGGCCTCTATTCTTAAACCCCTATGTCTTGCCTTTTGTTTCTAGCACCTTTGGGGAGTTGAAGACGGTCCGCCTGCCAAAGAAGATGACTGGGACAGGCACACACAGAGGCTTCGGCTTTGTGGACTTCCTCACCAAGCAGGATGCGAAGGTGAGACCGTGAATCCCTTCCCCACCTGTCCAGGCCTCCCCTTTCCAGTACCCATTGTAGGAGAGACAGCCAGGCCTCTAACACACACAGAGTCACCTCCCCATGCAGGTGTTCTTTTTTTGCCTTTGTTTCTGCTTAATGTGTACAACATCCTTGGAGAAGATCCTGGGGGGTTTGTATTTGGAGGAAGGGGCAGTTTCTGTGTCCCCTTCCCTCCCCTAGTTTCACATATGCAGGAACCTGGGACATAAACTGGGGATGGGAAGCAAATGGGTTTCCCAGGCCTCTCCACGTCATCAAGAAAATTCCTCAGTTCAGGTGGCCCCCTGGGGTAGGCAGTATGGGAAATGCCACGCAGAACAGTGCAGAGAGGGCAGGGCGCTTGGAGAGTAGGAGACACCCAAGAAGCAGCCACGGGAATGCGTCTTCCCCTTCCTTTTTTCCGCTCATGGCCAGGGCTTCTGTTTTGTGCTGGTTATCTGTGAGGGCAGCCCCTGCAGGTGCAGCTGCATGCAAGCGTGCATACCGAAATCCCTCCAGGCTCCTTGAGAACCTTTTATTTTTGAAGCAAGGCGGCATCTCCAAATTGGTTCAGTACAGCACAGCCAGGCTTTGCTCCTGCAGTGGGTGCTGGGCCCAGCCTCCAATGTGGGGCAGAGGCTGTGTGAACAAGAGCCTGGCTGTACCCAAAGCCACTGCCCTCGTGGCATTGAGCTCCAGGTCAGAATCCAGAAGGAATGTGGCTGCAGAGCTGTCACAGTGGGCTGCCTTCCGTGAGCTCTGCCCACAGGTGGCCTGTCCCCTCTCTCAGCCTCACTATTCCTCAAGGCTAAAATAAAGTGACAGGGAGGTCTCATTAATGGCTGGGATCCCCTTCACCTCTGACGAGCTGCTCCTCAGAAGAACAGTGAACATTTCCTGGAGTCACAGCCATTGGGCTTTAGCAGGCTGGCATCACAAGAGGCCCAGGGGGTGGGTCAGCTGTGCAGAGCCAAAGGTGGCAGCTCCAGGACACAGCTGTGGCCTTTGTGGGCCCTGGGAACATGCACAGGCAGAGAAGGCGCATGGGGACCCTCGGAGAGCCTCGCCAGCCACCTTTGTCTCCGAGTCTTGAGCTCAAGTGCCTGTTTTGTTGACACATGGCCATATTTGTCTGGACATCTGCTCCTCTCTCCTCCTGGCTGGCAGCCTTTCCCTCGCCTCTCATCAGAGACAGCAGGGGACACACCTTGCATGCAGCAGGTCACGGCCCTCACCCTCACAGCGGGGCAGGCACGTGGTGCCCTGTGTTGGCTCAGGGCAGCAGCGGAGGGCTGCCTTTCAGAGCTCCCACCCACGGCAGTTCAACCCACACTGGCCTTCCCTGTGCCACAGTTTTCTGATCTGTGAAACGGGAATGATGGCTGCGCCCCCCTCCCAGGGTTAGGGCAGGTGATGCATGGGAGACACTGACTCGGTCCTGGCATGTGGTGGGTACTCGATACCAGTACACCGTTTCCTTCTCATTGCCACCAGCCTGGTTCCCTTCAGAGCCACCCTTGGTCTATGGATTCGTGCACACATGTGATGCTCTGTGGATAGAAGAGAGTACAGGGCAGCGTCTTTTCTCCACTGCATTCCACTGAGCTCTGGGTATCCAAGGGGATTGGGCAGTGATGGTGTAGAAGTGTTGTCATCTGTCTTATATCAGAGTTCCTATAGGAGGCTGTGCTTGGGGGAGAAATGAGGGATTCACTCTCTGCTCCTAAGAAATGTCTCTTACAAAGAACAATGCAAGAGCTTGTTGTTACAATACAAACTTCAAAGCCAGACTGCCTGAGTTTGAACCCCAGAGCTGCCACAAATCTCCCGTGTGACCTTGGGCAAGTGACATCCTTTCTGTGTGCCTCAGTTTCCTCCCCTCGTAAAATGGTCACAGGGTTTTCCATATTTTCATAGAGTCATTGTGAGGTTTGGATGGGGTGATAATTTAGAACAGGGCCTGGCCCCTACATACGGGCTATTGGCTGTGATGAGGAGGCGGAAGGCATTGGTGGTGACAGTGGTGATGGTCTGAAATAAGAAAGGGTGTTCCCCTTCTTATTTGGCCACCCACTGGGCCTCTTTTCTCACCCACCCACTGGGCCTCTTGTGATGTCAACCTTAAATTTAAAGCCCAATGGGTGCACCTCCAGGAAACGCTCACTGCTGTTCTGAATGGCTTGTCAGAGGTGGAGGGGATCCCAGCCATTGATGAGAGCAGAGAGCAAAGGCGTTGGAGCCCCTTCACTGGAAGCCCTCTTTCAGCACCAAGAGGTTGATGCCGAGTTGACACAGCCCTTGGGACATGGAGGGTCCAACCAGGGCTGGGCCCCAGCCATGAGCCCTTTGACATGTCACCGTTGGCTAAGTTTTGCTCTTCAGCTTTATTAGGACAGAAGGTGGACTCCCAGGTAATCAAGGCAGTGAGTGCCATTGAGGAAGTTCACCAAGTGCCCAGGTGGCTCGCACTTGGCACACCCAGGCCCGGCTGTGGATGTTCCTTCTGAAGCCCAGCACAGCCCTCTAGTGATTTATGGAGGTGGCAGCTCCTCCCCCTCCATCCCTTCCCTGCCTTTACTCCGGGCTCTGGGAGGAGAAAGGGCAGCCGAGGACAGTACAGGCTCAACTCACAGCCTCTCCGGGACTGGCCCTTCTCCCCATCAGGTGGCTATTTCTGGCCCCTCCATCCCTGTAGTGACTTCCCTCTCCCACACTGGGGCTTGTGCCATGGAACGCACTCGTCTTCCAGGAAGGAGGAGCCCATCACAAGCACATCTTTCCTGCAAGGATCCCTTTGCTCTTTTTGTTTCCTAGGGAAGCTGCCATTGCTTTCTCCCTCCCCAGCTCCAGGTCTGTCTGGAGAACTTTATTGTCTTCTGAGTGGAACATTTAGCACTCTCCACTGACCCGTAGAATCGTCCACACTGCATATTAGTGAATAGGATTCTGAATATTGTAAATATCTAGTTAGCTCTTGAGGGTGGGCGTGAGTTTGAAGAGGGAGAGCAATACTGCCAGAGACATGGAGTCAAAAGCACTGGTGATCTTTTTTATCTCAGCAGAAGGAATTAGTGAGAACCCAGGGCTGGTAGAGGATCCTCCATGATCCCAGCCTCTCAGGGCCGGCTCCTGTGCATCCTCCCCCTGTTGAAGCTCTTAGGGAAGGAGATTTCCTTCAAAAACCCTTCCCAGGGCTCAGTTCAACCCTGACCCACTCAGATCCCCCGCCAAGGGCATTGATCCCATTTCCTGTCATGGCACCCTCGATGAAGATAAATAGTCGCCCCCTGTGTTGGCATCGGCCACCTCTTAAGCCAGGAGGTCTGCCCCAGCAATCGTCAGATGGGAGGAAAGAAGGGACCAGGATAGGCTGAAAGGAGGGGGCAGCTAAGCTCATTGTAGAAGTTGAGGCTGGAACAGGAATGGAGAAATGAATGGTTTCTGGGAGGGGCCAGTGCCGCGGCTTGCTCCCCGGTATCTCAACTCCCAGAACAGTGTTCTTTCCCCATCATCCACCAGTCCGTTTGCCTGCTGACAGAGGATAGAAGAGTTAAGGCATCCCCTCAACACCACAGTCCCTGCTGTGGCCCTGAGCACATGCCGTCTCCACCGTCCCCGAACTGAGGGGTTCTGAGTTGTCTGACCCTTCTCCATGAGACCCACGTCCCACTGTGCATATCCTCGAGGGCTCTGTGATATCTATCAAGCCCTTTTTGGATTCAGCACACATACCCCCAAACTGGAAAGAGAATCCTAGCCAGAGGCTCCTCAAAGGCTGTTGTGGCAGAGCTCAGAGTAACCAGGCAACTGATGATAATAGCAAGAGGCTCCCGCGAGCGCGCTGGCTTTGTATGTGACATTCACCACACTCGCACTGCCCCACCCCAACCTGTGGCAGCTCCAGCATCGGGTGGGAGATTTGCATCCAGTCTCCCTCCCCAGTCTCGCTGAGCATTTGCTAAACTCCAGCACTGAAGCCACCGTGGAGCCCTATGAATTGATGGGAAGCCCAGACCCCGGTCTGTTACTGAGCTGCTCCAGTGAACCGGGGGTGGGTCCTGACCATCTGCCCTCATCACGGGCCCTGGTGACCAGAGGCCTGCTCAGAGGAAGCAGGATCGATGAGCTGGCATATTCTCCCACTCTAGGACATTCTATCAGCCCCTGATGTCCCGGGCAGTAAATGTCAGTCCCTCTGAAAATGCTGGTGTTATCTAAACCTCCAGGTGTGATGATCCGGCATTTCTTAAAGAGCCTTCCCCACATGTGGAGGGAAGCAGGGGACAGAGGTTGATGGGGGAAGGAGAATGGGGGTGGTGTAGGAAGTCAAGGACTCAAGCAGGACTGCATCCTGAATGCAGCGGTCTCCTGGGTGGCCTGGGTCTACACCGTGTGCACGGCTGTCAGTTGTGTCATCAACGCCATGCAACCAGGGGACCACACGACCTGGAAGTTTCTAAAAGGGCAATATCTTTGAGTTGATAAAAACTGTCAACTTCTGGAAGCCCGTCTTTGGCAGGGATGGTGTAGGATATTTGCATATATAAGTTTTAATCCTCATGGGACTCTAGGAGATAGGTGGTAGGAGGCCATTTGACAGCTGGGAAACCAAGGCTCAAAGGGACAAAGTTGCTTGCTGAAGATCTTATAGTGGCACTTGGCAGAGCTGGGAAAAATCTAATTCCAAAGCTTGCATTCAGGGATTCCTCCTCCCTTCATTCACTGATTCACTTAAATTCTGTGTATCTCCACGCCAGGCTCTGGGTAGCTCCCCTTCTCCCTACCATGCCCACCACCTCTCACCCAGCCCTGACACCTCACCAAGGAGAAGGACTCTCCAATTAGAGGGACACTTTGGAGGAAGGCCAAGAGGTTGTCCCTTAAAACGTCTCTTGGGAACAAGTCCAGAATGAAATCAACTCCCCCCAGCCCCCAGAGGAGGAGTGGGCATTCAGTCAGCTGCCCCCACTAGCACACTCTACCGTGCTGCCTTCCAACCCTGCCAATCCCCAGGAGTAGCCTCACTGAGGAGGCAGCAGCCTTTCACCTGGGCAGCTATAATGGGGACTCCCTACCAGGTACACTCATCCCCATTGGCTGAGTGGCCACCAATAGCCATTGGGATTCCAGTTAGAAGCTGCCACCTCCTCTCTCTTTACCCAGACCGGGCTGGTCCTGAAGGAAGAAAGGAAGGGCAACACGGAAGGGGAAGACCACAAAGAATAGACTTGCAGCCCAGAAGCCAGAATATTAATTTTTTCCCATGCAATGTGCCTTTAATTTTTCCCTTCCCCAGGCCTGCCGTGCCTTTGTACTTTTGCAGTTGCAGCTGTTTTTATTTGCCACCGCTGCTGTTGTTTTAAAAGGTCTATTTTCACATGGAATGCTATCCAATTAGCAGAGCAATGTGTTGGCTTAAATAAACACTTGGGGGGAGCCAGCAGTAGGGAGACGCGATGGTGGTTGGCGTTGGCAGGCAGAGCTGTTCTCACTGTGGTAAACAACCACAGCTTTCATTGTAGGGTCGCACCAGTTAATGTCTCCTTCCTCATTTCTCACTTTTCCACTCTGCCAAGGGTTGGGGCAGAGGAAGGGATGTGGACATGTGGCCCAGGCCCTCCCCAGCCTGGGGGATGCCAGTGTTTTGGCAGAAGCTCGCACTGGGCCTCTCGAGGAGTGTTCTGTGAGCCTACTGTCTTCACCTGGCAGATTCTAGCCAAACAGGACCTGTAGTGGAAGGGACCAATGATGAGCGAGCCGGACAAAGCTCATTAAGGCCGGGACAGCCTTCCTCCTCGCCGGGTGCCCAGCGCACCCAGCACAGTGCTGAGCCGTGTTGTGTGCACAGTAAACCATCGCTATTAGATTGTCAGTGGCGTGCGTTCAACACGTTTGTTTAAACTGAGTGCAGAGGAGGAACGTGCTGCACGCTGGTTAGTGTGGCCTGTGACATCAAGCGGCCTCTTTGCAGCTGTGCGAACATGGACAAGGGACTTCAGATCCCTTTAGCCCAAGTGACTTGTCCCCACACAGGCAATAATAAGGCTGCCCTTGAGGCGTTTGTGAAGATGAAGCAGAATGTTGCATGCAAAGCATTTAACACAGGCTGTGGCACGTGACACCAAAGAAGTGAGGGTGGCTGAGTGTTCCTCTGGGCCCCCAGGGATCAGAGGTGCTGCAGCCTGAAACCTAGGTGTCCATTGTCCTGTGTGTCCCAAAATGTTAACCGAAAGCAAATTCAGGAATTGGAGTTTTGTCCCCACTTTTCTGTTCAGGTGTGCATGTGACGTGTGTGCGCTCATGACTGTTTTGTAATTGTGGGCTTTTTGCCAAGTTTTCTTCAGCAGAGCCCTGGAGGAATTGAAAATGTGTTTGAATCCCGAGCTTGCATTTCAAGGCAGGCTCAGCCAGCACACATGTATATGGGCTGAGACCTGGGATCAGGACAGGCTGCCCTCCTCAGATGGGCAGGTGAGCAGCCCTTGTGGCCAAGACTCAGTGCCAGGACGGACCCCCCTGCTAATTGTGTCCCTGGAGCTTCTGTGCGGACTGAGGACTGCACAGTCCTACAGAGATCAGAGTGAGAAGGACTCAGGTTCAGACGTCCTCATTTCAGATTTATCAGGCAGGCCGTACTAGTCATCAAGGAAAGGTAAAACTCCCAGCCAAGTTTGACAGCCTTCCTCCCTTTTAACAGCATTAAAATAATTTTTTTTTTTTTGAGACAATCTCGTTCTGTCGCTCAGGCTGGAGTGCAGTGGCATGTTCTCTGCTCCCTGCAACCTCCACCTCCTCGGTTCAAGCGATTCTCCTGCCTCAGCCTCCCAAGTAGCTAGGATCACAGACGTGCGCCTCCACACCCGGCTAATTTTTGTATTTTTAGTAGAGACGGGGTTTCTCCATGTTGGTCAGGCTAGTCTCGAACTCCTGGCCTCAAGTGATTCCCACCGCCTCGGCTTCCCAAAGTGCTGGGATTACAGGCGTGAGCCACCGCACCCAGCCTAAAATAATTTAAATTAAAAAAAAAAAAAAAAACTTTACCACAAATGGCACCAGCAACAGGTACCAGGAATTAGGCCCTTCCCATTATGCCAGGCGTTGGGCTAAAGGAAGAGTTGCTGTCTTATTTATGCTTCCCAGCAGCTCTGAGAGGCTGAAGCACCCCCATTTTGCAGTTGAAAAATTGAAAACTCAGAGAAGTTTATTGAAAGCAGCAGGCCCAGGCCTGTGCCTGAGGGGAGCCCAGAGCCTCAGCTGTCCGTGCTGCCCGTGGCCTTGTGGCTTGGTGCCCTTGGGTCCCTGGCATTGGCCCTCTCTCCCTAGTGGCTCTCTTTCCTCTCCCAGGGGTGCTATAAACTTGCAGAGGTCCAAAGTGTGTCCCACTTTTGTCTCCTCGTCTCATGTTTGCCTCACAATCAGCTCCCCAGAGACTTTGAGCCGAATCGCACTGAGCTGAGCGAGCTAGGGAATGAATGAATGAGAGGGAGAGGTGCCTCTTTGTCTGAAGAGTTCAGACAGCATCACCCAGAAGCTGACCCTGGATGTCTCTCCTAGAAGTTCACCCTCAGCTCCATGGTGTCATTTCTGGGAAGGGACCGGGATGGGAGTCACCCAAGATTGTGCAGGGAGCTTAACTTATTCTGGGCAAACTCCTGCCTAGCAGACAGCTACCCTGTGAGGATGGAAGCAGCTAGTGAGGTTTGCTGAGAGCTTACTCACAGGACAGTGGGAGCCTTGGGACCGAAGGAAAGGATCTATCTCTCTCTCAGGGTGATGGCGTTAAAACACCCCAGGGAGGCAGACCCTCCTCCCAGAAGTCCTTGGCCTCAATTTTTTGACCACCTCTGCAGAGAGCCCCCAACAGTGCCAGCCACTTACTCTAGGTGTTGGGGGCACAGCAGGTTTCGGAGGGGTTGATGTCGTCCTTGTTAGGACAGATTTATCGTCTGCTGAGAGATGCAGCCCTCTGGCTTTGCCAGGGACAGCTCCCTGAGGAGCAGAAGGGGCCAGGAGAATGCCTTAGAGTTCTAAAGACAGGAATACTGTCCTCAGCTCTGCCCAGAAGCCGTGGCCCTGGGCAGTTCTTCGCAGCCCCTTGGGATGGAAGTCCTGCCAAGGGCATGCAATGCCTTTTGTTGCTGAGAGGAGGTCTGTCTCCAGGGAAGCTGCAGAAAGGTCAGGCCCAGTGCTGCAATGGCAGCCTTCCAATGCCTTCCCAGTTCTTGAAAGAGGCCACCAGGCTGGGCCACAGTCTAGCCTGCAGCTGTCAACCCCACACCACCTTAGCAGATTGCCTTCTAAGGGAATTCAGAAAAGGCGGCAGGAGGCCAGGCCTCTTGATGCCTGGAGTCCATGGCTTGAGTCAGAGGAGCTCAAAGAGCTGTGATTTCAGGACAGCAGAGCCAGAGAGCTGGATCATGAGGGCAGCCCTGGAGTCTGGCTAGACCTGCTCAGAGCTTTCCTGGGTAGGCCTCAAATTCTGAGTAGGGCCAAGGCATGCGAGACACCCCATCTGAAGTAGGAAATCCACCTGTCCCCCGGTCAAGGCAAAGGGACTCCAGATCCTGCCAGGGATCTGGCAAGAAACAGAATCTATCCCCACCCCCAGGTGGTGTGAATGAAGAGGTATTTATGGAGGCATAGGTAGGGCTAAGGGATTCCCCAGGGATGGCGAAGCCCCCAGAACTGTCATCTCCCTTAGGCCAAGAGGAGGGTTGGAAGGAAAGCCAGGGCTGGAGCTGCTGAGGAGAGGCCTTGAGCAGGAGCTATAGCCCTGCAGGGAGGGGGAGGTACGCAGCACCAACCTCTCTCCTCCCTCTTCCCCTCTTTCCTCCAGTCTCCCAGAAGTGCCACCCATTTGCTTCACCTCAGTAGAAACCAGAGGCCAAGGGAGCCCTGGTCACACTGTGCAGAGTTGGCTCCTAAAGCGTAGAGGATGGGGGAGGAGGGACCAGGAATAATCAGCCCTGGCCATCAATGATGGCAGGAAGTGCTCCCAAGAGCAGAGGTGGCTTCTCTTCTGTGACGTTCGTTTTGCTGGACTCCTGCATCCTCGGGGTTCTGTGCTGGATCTTCAGGCCTCTCCAGCAGACCATCTGGGGGTCTGACATGCGATCTCTCGAGCCATAGTGGTGCAGGTTACTGTTCCCATCCTGCAAAGCCCCAAGCCAGGCATGTTGGGAGCAGAGCCAGACCCAAGATTATTTGTGTATCGTTTCAAAAGGCCAAATGTCCCACTCGTCTGGATGGTCAGGCACTGCCTGCTCTCTCAGAACGGGACATACTCCTATCCCCGTTGCGTTTGTAGTCTATAAAGTGCAGGGGTTTGAAGGGAACTGTGGCAGGACGTCTAAGCCAGCCCTGCGTCCCCAGCTAGGACCAGCCTAACCATCTACCCCAGTCTGGAGACGTGTTCTCAAGACACCCAGTGAAGGAGACGCCACAGTGTGCTTTGTGAACATTGACTGAGTGGCCTCTGCCCCAGCACCAGGCTGAGGATCTTAAGCATGGAGCGCCTTCCCTCCAGGGTTCAAGATTGAGTCAGGAAGACTGGCACACAGAAGGCATTATGGGGCAGGGAGCAGGTTCTGGAAACGGAGGCCAGGTGTCCAGGGCACAGGGAGGGTGCCTGGCTGTTGCCTGTGCAGGAGGAGCAGAACCCTCCCTGGGCCGTCTGTGTAAGGGGCCAGAGACAACGTGTAGAGGCCAAAAGGAAGAAGGAGAAGGAAGTTGACCTGCATACAAACCTTGGCCAGTGCCTCAGTTTCCCATTCATTGAAATAGGAGAATAATGTCTGTTCTCAGGAGTAGGCTGAGGTCATATGCTTGGAGTGCCGTGGAGCTAGGAGATAGGATCATCCATGCTAAGAAGGCCTTCGATGCCACAAAAGGAAAATCAGACAGCAGGAGCCAGACTTGGAGAGGAACAAAGGTGCAGTAACTCCTCAGTCTCCTGAGATGAACAAGCCCAGGGGCTGTTTTGGCAGAGGAGCATCTTGCCCGCAGCTGAGGTTTAGAAAAACGCTTGGGAGAAGGTGGAGGTCAAGTTTCAGTGGGGTCAAGTGTAGGTAGACACCAGGGAGGGAGCTGCTAGTGGACCTCTCTGGCTTGTGCTTTTCCCTCTGTGATGGCTGGAACCTTCCAAGCTCCTCACAGTCTTTTCTGTGCCAACCCAAAAGCCCCTTGAGACCCGGGCCTGCATCTTCCTCCTCCTCCCCACCTGCCTTGCCCCTAGAATGTGTCAAATATAACAAGCTCTCGTTATGCTCTTTTAATGAAACACAATTACTCTGGATTATCCAAGGCCTATTTTAGCCTCAAATCACTGTCCTCACACTGCCTGCGACAGTTTGAGGCCACCACATTCCAGCCACCCAGGCAGTGGGCACTTGGGAATGCAACCTGATTTCATATTAACCTGCAGGGACTAGAACTCAGCAGGGTAATTCTGCTATTTTTGGAGAACCACGTATTGTGCTCTAACTTCAAATACAAAAGAGCTTTTGTGTCTTACCTTCCCTTCTCCCCACTCTTTAGCCTGATAATGAAAAGTGGAGGCATACATCATCATAATAACAGCCAATCTTAAGTGACACATGTTATGTGCCAGTGTTCTAAGTGTCAGACTTAACAGTTCTCTGAATTCTCACTACTCTTTGCTGCTGCCCTCCTTTTACATATGAGGAAGCTCGGGCTCAGAGAGGTTCAGCAGCTTGCCTGAGATCACACAGCTCATAAGCACTGGAGCAGGGATTTGAACCAAGGCAGGCCAGCAGCAGAGCCCACCCTCTAAACTGCCATGCCACCACCCCTCTTACCATGAAGAGCTCTTCCAGAGAGAGGCCAATAACGTGTCAGAGGAGTGCAGAGGGAAGAGAGAAAGATTTGTGAGAGGTGATGTCGCAAAGAAGCCAAAAGAGGGAATTTTTAGTGACTCCTGCAATGAATAGAGATCTCCTGGGCTTTCTGTGGTACGGGAATAGAGAACTGGCTTCCAAGGGAGAGAAAGAAACATTGAAATCTGACAGTGGGAAACAGAGAGGCTGGGGTTGGGGCCTCTCACCCGGACCTACCTCCTGGGATCTTATTCCGTTCTTGAGAGTTCCAGCCTAGCATTCACCAGATGCATCCCCTTGGCCACCCCCACCCCACCGTGTCCCCGGGACCACAGCTCCTCAGGGACCCTGGCACGAGGATGGAACATCCGCCACACCAGACTCCCCACCAATTCCTCTCCCCCATCTTAAAACCCCAGCTCCCCCAGTCAAGCCATTTCTCTGCCTCGCCAGCTGAGAACGCGTGTGTTTTAAAGCTCTGAATGGGCCATTTCGGCTCAGAGTCCAGATGCATTTTTATATCCACATGGAAAAAAATGCAGAGGCTCTGCTGGCAGTCAGAAAGAGTTTTTTAAATTAAAGTTAAAAAAAAAAGGAAAGAAAAAATTTTCTGCACCTGGTCCTTCACAGAACAGCACAGAAGAGAACAAAGCGTTTCTTTAATTTGGCTGCATGTCTAGTTTTAAAAAGATGCATGTTCTAGTCACCTCCCTTTTGTCTCTTCGGATTCATTTGTTTATTGAATGTGTATTATGTGCTGCCCTCTGTGCTCGTTTTGTGTAAATCTCACAGCCAGCCCCAATAGGGATGAGGAAACGGAGGCTCAAGATGTGGCAGTTGATTACCCAAGGGCATTGCGTCCTTTCCCTAGGGCTACTATAACAAAACGCCACAGACCGGATGGCTTCAAACCACAGAAATGGGCTGGGTACAGTGGCTCAGGCCTGTAATCCCAGCACTTTGGGAAGCTGAGGCAGGAGGATCACTAGAGTTCAGGAGTTCAAGACCAGCCTGGGCAATGTAGGGAGACCCCGTCTCTACAAAAAATTAAAAACTTAGCGAGGCATTGCAGCATGTGCCTGTGGTCCCAGTTACTCGGTAGGCCAAGGTGGGAGGATTGCTTGAGCCCAGGGGTTCGAGGATGCAGTGAGCCATGATCACACCACTGCACTCTAGCCTGGGTGACAGCGAGACCTTGCCTCAAAACACATTTTAAAAATCCAGAAATGTGTCTCACAGTTCTGGAGGCCAGAAGTCCAAAATCAAGGTGCTGGCAGGATTGGTTCCTTCCGAGGGAAATCCTGTTTGGTGCCTCTCCCCTGGCTGCTGGGGACAGTTGGCATCCTTGGTTTGTAGACTCATCACCCAGTCTCTGCCTCCATCTCCCCACGGCATTTGCCATGTGTCTCTGTCTTCACATGGCCATCCAATGACACTAGTCATTGGCTCAGGGCCTGCTGTTCTCCAGTATGACCTCGTCTTGACTGATTACATCTGCAGCTACCTATTTCCAAATAAGGTCACATACTGAAGCACAGGGGGTTAGGACTCAACATGGCCCCTCTTGCGGGACAGGGTCTGACCATAGGAGCTACAGTGTAGATAAGGAGCACAGTTGGATGGGTTCCCATCCAGACCCTTCCAGTTATATGATTCTTCACAGCATAAAAGAAACAAGAGCAGCAAACCCCTCCTCTTCTTGTACCCACTGGTGCTCTCTGCAACCCAGAAGCAAAGCAAAGGGCCTTCTTAGCCACCGTTGCTCTCCACTGCCAATGCTCAAGCACCTGGAGCCTACTGCTCTTTAAACTAATGCCTGCCCGAAAGCTGTCTGCTGAGAGAAAGCAGCTGCAAATGTGATGTCTACGGTAACAAAACAACAGCAACGAGAAGTAGCATCTATTGAGTAATTATGGTGTGCCCATACTGTTCTAGACGCTGTTAACTCATTTTTGTCCCTAGAACCCTTGAGATTGGCATATATGAACATACCCGTTTTATGGATAAGGAAACAGAGTCCAGGAAGATTTCTTTAACTTGCCCAAGATCTTCAAGTTAGGACCTGCGGGGTCTGTCCTTCCTGGTCAGGGTGACCTCAGACTCCAAGCTTTTGGCCACTAAGCTCACGGCCTCTCTGTGCCGTGGGAGTGTTTGGGGATGAGCCCATCAAGTTAGGGCGTCCCTGTGCAGTGCCATTGAACTTGAGACCTAGCGATGTTTAAGACGGTACTGATCACTACCGTATGATTCCGTTCCTATGAAATGTCCAGAATATGCAAATCCATAGAGACAGAAAGCAGACTGGTGGTTGCCAGGGGCTGGGGGACTGCTAGCTAAGGGGTGTGGGGTTTCCTTTGGGGGTGATGAAAATGTTCTAAAATTGATTTGATGACATTTTGCACAGCTCTGCGATTATACTAAAACGCATTGAATTGTCTTCAGACAAGCAGTGTATATAGTATGTGAATTCTGTCTCAGTATAGCTGTTAAAAAGCAGAAAGAGGGAACCAGGCAGCATGTGGGAGTCGGGAACAGCAAAGAGTAAGCGGGAACAGCCTGTGCCAGGACCCAGGCTGCTGAGCTGGGGGTGGGAGCTGGGAGCGGGAGTTGGGAGCGCAGGGCTGGGGGAACCAGCGAGGAAGCGAAGGGCACTGGCAGCAGAGACAGAAGGGGCCCCTTCAAGAGCAGCGTGGGGGACAGAGTCACCAGGGCAGTGAAGGAGAGCGACACCCAGTGACACCCAGAGGCCTGCACGCTTGTCATCCAGCAGCCGGCCAGGGCTCGGCTTTCTCAAGTGGCCGCCATGCAGACAGCCGGGTGGGAGGCGAGCCCACTAATGGGGTCGCCCTCCACAGATCGGATGACACACGGCAAATAGACGGCTGCCTCAGCCCAGGCACCAATTACAGCCCAGACGGCAGATATATTGACTGCTCAGTCACTTGCAGCTTTCTCCCTGGGAATGCAACCCACTAATTAAATAGATGTGCCCAACCGCTCCCCAAACCCTCGCTGGAGATCAGATGTCACGGGGCCAGAACCTGGGCTTTGGCATCTGAGACGCAGGCAGGCAGCTGGCAGGCAGAGTGGAGTGTCTGCCGCACTGATCCAGCTGATGTGCAGTTTCGTTTCTTGTCCCTCTGCAGAGAGCCTTCAACGCCCTGTGTCACAGCACCCACTTGTACGGGCGGAGGCTGGTGCTGGAGTGGGCCGACTCCGAGGTGACCCTGCAGGCCCTGCGGCGGAAGACGGCCGCTCACTTTCACGGTAGGAGCGGGACGGTCTTTTGGGCTGACTCATGGGCCCCCTGGGGAACACAAGAGGTGGGTGGGACATCTGAGAGAACTGCCCTCGACCCAGCAGGCTATGGGCACAAGGGCTGCCAAGCACCTCCTGCTGGGCATCCTCCCACAGCCCCTCCAGACCTGCTGTCCACCTTCCTTGGGCACTCCCTGCCGGGAGGCTGGCCTACATGGAAGCATCTGGGTTCTGTGCCCCTTTGGGTTGCAGTCGGGTTAGGTCACTGGGGGCCTTGGCAGGAAGAGACAGAGGTCAGAGTGTTTATCCCTCCCTGCCTGCCAGGTTGCCAGGTCACAGCTCGTGGCCGTTGGCTCTGTCCTCACAGTGCTCTGTGTTCAGATTCCGGTGTCCGCAGGGCAGGGATGCTCACGGCCTTCCTGGTGGCCAGCCCTGGGGACCACACTCTTGCTGATCACTTTCCTCCATGACCCGGTCCACTTCCTGCCGGAGGGCTGATGCCCACAGGTCTCACTCACCTCTTACCCACCTTGGTGGTGTCATGTGGCCTCAGTGACTATTCAGGTGGTGGCCAGAAAATACTGAGCGCCCGCTGTGACCTCATGCACCCACATGACAGTAACCAAGCAGGGCCCTAGGCTCAGGTGGAAGAGGCTGGGACACATTCCTCATCAGGTGGGCTAGAGAGGCTTCACTGCAGAGGTGACATCTGTACCCAACAAAGGGCTGCCTAAGCAGGAGGCCAGGGGCAGGGGAGACCCCCAGGTTGGAGCAAGCTCGGTATGTGTGAGAAACAGGGAGGACAGCATGGCTGGAGGTGAGGGGAGGAGAGAGGGAGCAGATGAGGTCAGCAGGGCCTCGTCTTCTCCAAGAGGTTGTGTTCAGTCAGGTGAGGAGAGGGTGAGACAGCCCCAAGAATCGCTCCACCCTGGACACATGGAAAGTATGGCAGGTGCCCCTTGCTGTCAGGTACACACCCTCCAAACTTGGGATATCAAGGGGTACTTGACCTTGATCCCCATCTCCACACCTCCGCCTCCCATCACAGAAGTGCTTCCACTGTGGCCTGGGCCCGGCAGCAAAAGGGCAGCTGCTGGCTTTCCACCCACTTTGGATCCCGCTTACTTGGCGATGGTTCACCCAGCTGGGGAGCTTCTCTGCCTTTTGCATGCCCAGAAAAGCCAGGCTCCGTGATGGGGAACAGTCCTGTCTGTGGTGCCACCCATGGTGCTCTGAGGTCTTCCTGGCACGCCACCGCATTCCTCCCCACCTCATTGTCGCCTGGGTCCCAGGTCTCAGGACCTTTCCTGGATGGAGCCACCATTGTGCCCTCATCCATCCCTTCTCTGTGGGGCAGCTCAGGGCCTCGGGTGTCACCTGGGTACAGACTAGGGGTGTTTGCTGCCAGCATCCCCCAACCCCACTTCTCTGCGTAGACATGGAACCTGGAGCCAGGAGTGATTATTCCCTCGCCTGACCGGTGCAGCTCTGTTGCCAAACCAGGCAGCACCTTGGGAACAGTTTCTCTTATGGAGATAGGAGCCTTCCAGTGGGGCCACTGGTCTTGCTTAGGGCGAAACGACTGGGCTTCTGAGAAGCAGCGTCTCAGCAATGCAGCAGGACTGCATCCCCCACAAGTGGACTTGGAACTCCAGAGATAGCAGGGAAGCCCCTTGATTCTAGCCCAGCTGCCACACGCTTCAGAACACTGCCTCCTGCCCACACTGTGGTCTTCCCAGACTCCTCCTTCCTCCCACCACACCTCCCACAGAGTTCATTGTTCCCCAGACTCCAGACAGGATTCTGTGCCTTTGCACATGCTGTTCCCTCTGCTTAGAATGCCTTGCCCCTCACTTTTTTTTTTTAACCTGATAAATGCCTTCAAAACCCAGATAGAATGACACCTCCTCCAGGAAGCCTTCGCTTTCCCTCCCCCTCCACAGGTATCAGTAATTTCTCCATCCTCTACTCTCCTCTTCTGTCACCGTGCCTTCTTGCCACGTTGTAACTTATTTCTTTACGATTTGTTATCCTCTCTGGACCCGTGCCTTCCCCACATGGGGGCTGTGTCGTGCTCATCTCTCTTAGTGATCAGTTCTTCCCTGGGTCCCCCGTGCCCAGCATAGTACCTGGCACATGCCAGGCTCCCAGTCTCAGACTGGGGAATATTCGAGCTGAGGCAAATGTGGAACCAGAGAAATGAAGGCTAAATACACAGTTGCAAGCTCACAACTCAATAAGACCCCAAATCCTGATGTGCAGAAAGAGAGCCTGTCCTTATCGACAACCATTGACAAGCCCAAATGCGCCCGTCGGCAAATGTTTGTGTAAGGGACTCTCCCTGGAGTGGAGACGGGGGCCCATCTGCCCCGCCACCCCCATCCCCCAACCCCGGGGCCAGCCGAGGAGTGCAGGCTCAGCGGTTCTGCCCTGCCTTAGAGAGAAGCCCCCTTCAATAAATTGAGTTCCAAAGACAGCACTATTGCCTCGCCACAGTGGAAAGACTTAGCTGGCAGCATTTCTGTGGGATTGACTGTCTCCACAGCCACTTACCAGCCAGGCCAAGGCCCAGACAGGGGCAGATAGAATGATAACAGTAACAAAGACAGTTCTTCATTTGCCTACATCTTCCCATTCACTCCCTAGCAGCTCTATGAGATGGACACTATTAGCCCCATTTCACAGATGAGAGAACTGAGGCCTGCCAAGCACTGCAGTAATTTATGACGACTACTGTTTATTAAGCACTTACTGTGCATCAGGGGGCCATCCTCACACCGGCATCATCTCAGTGCTCACAGCAACTGTAGCAGCTGTAGGCAGTGCTATGTCTACTCAGCAAGGAAGTGGCAGAGCTCAGACTTGATCTCCAGACCGGCTGTAGAGCCTCCCACCCCACCCACTGGCCCCAACTATGTTATACTAGCAAACGTCACTCAAGAAAAAACTCCTGGCCAGGCGCAGTGGCTCAGGCCTGTAATCCCAGCACTTTGTGAGGCCGAGGTGGGTGGATCACTTGAGGTCAGGAATTTGAGACCAGCCTGGCCAACATGGTGAAACCCCGTCTCTACTAAAAATACAAAAAAATAGCCAGGCTTGGTGGCGCATGCCTATAGTCCCAGCTACTTGGGAGGCTGAGGCAGGAGAAGCACTTGAACCCGGGACGCGGAGGTTGCAGTGAGCCAGGATCACACCACTGCACTCCAGCCTGGGTGACAGAGCGAGACTCCATCTCAAAAAAAAAAAAAAAAAAAGAAAAGAAAAAGAAAGTCCCAGGCCGTCACTAAACCTGGGGTATGTGAGTGTTCACTGACTTCATGGCTTTGGCCCTTCTAACTCATCGGGACCATGAACCCAAGATCTGCAGGGTTCCTTCAGAAACTGAGAGAATGAATAACAAATCATAATGACAAACACTGCTGGCCCTTCAGAATTGGCACAGCATGTGCTCATAGAAGGCCCTGTTATGTGCATGTTTCATTGTCCCCATTGTACAGATGAGGAAGCTGACATGCATAGGTGAGATAAGGCCCCTCAGGGCGGGCTTGAGTGTCAGAGCCATGTGTTTCCACCCCTCTGAGTCCCTCTGAAAGAGCACTGCCCTCCCAGGTTCTGGAAGGGGACATCAGCTCTGGGCTCCCCGAGTATGTCAAAGATGAGCACTAACGAACCCTTCCCCAGTGCCACGGGAGATGGGCCAAGGCCCCAGGGGGGAGCAGAATTCGCACAGGAGCCTCATAGAAAGACCCTGTCATGCAATGGCAGCTTACGGGGGTATAGGCAGTGCCCATGGAGCAACAGGTTGCTGGGGCTCCCAGAGCGGAGTAGTGTCAGAGCTCTTAACCACCCCAGGGGCTGAAAGGGCAGGGGGAGGAAGTGATATTCCTGGGGTCCAGTGAGGACAGGAGCCTAGGAGCAGCTACCAGTGGGCACTGCAGTGTGGAGGGACACAGCCCCTGCCAGAGGGCAGCAGCAAAGCAGGAAGAAGGGGCTGGGGACAGAACAGCTGCAGCTCTCTCTCCTGCAGCCGTCTGCTCTCCGGCCACGGCCTCCCATCAGGCCATCCCACCTGTCGGCCACAGGCCCAAATTGTCCCTGTGACACGTTCAGTAGGGTTCAGCCTTCCGGGGATGGAGCAGGACAGAGGATGGATGTGGAGGGACCAGACAGAGAATGTCCAGTGTGTATGGTAACCTACGTACATGTCAGGGCATGTTGCCAGAGGTAGGGGTTATGTTTTCCCGGGGGCAGGAGCAGCCCTGAGAAACGATGCCCAGGTTGGAGAGGATGCTGATATGGCCCTGGATGTGACCCATCCACAGGCATCAGGGCCAAGCACAGCAGAGTGTCAGACCTCCCTGCTGGCCTCACCTGTGTGGACCAGGAAGAGGGGGCAAGAAGGTGGCCTGAGAGTTTGGAGCCAAAGAGTCTGAATTCCTCATTGCATTTTTCAGCACTCTTTTCCAAAGAAACATGATAATCCCTTGAAAACAAAAGAACACCCTCTGTAGAATACAGCAAGATGTAAGATGGGGATTGTTTTTTAACTAAGAATCCATGAAACTTTGTCTTCCAGTATGGCTGGCCTCAGAGGAACTGGGAACGCCTGGTAATTGCATTACCTGGGTCCCCGTATGGCTGGCCTCAGAGGGACTGGGAATGCCTGGTAATTGCGTTTGTGTCTGCGTGTGTGGCAAGAGGATCTTTTGTTTTCATCAGATTTCTAGGAGGTCATGGGCCCCAAAAGGTTTAGGAACCACCAGCTTAGGAAAAAGAGCATCAACTTTGGAGTCAGCAAGACCCAGATTCTGCATTCTGGCTGTGTGTTCCAGGGCAAGACCTGGATTCCGCATTCTGGCTGTTGTCCTGGGGCAAGTCGTTCCTCCCTGTGAGCTTCTGTTTTCTCATTTGAAAGATGTTAACAGGGGTACCCCTTCTGGCATTGATTTGACAGTGATCAGGGAAGTAACAAAAGCCATAGTAGCAGCTTTCCTTACTGGGGACCAGGAACTCTTCTAAATCCCTTGCAGTGAGGGGTCTCATGTCATTCACACACCACCGCTGTGAGTGAGGTGCTGTTCATCTCCCCATTCTGCAGATAGGGGAACTGAGGCACGCAGAGATGAAGCACCTTGCCCAAGGTCACACAGGTAGTGAATGGTTGAACTTGAAACGATAGTCAGGTTTACCTCTCTATCCGTCCTCCCCTGGGAGTGTGACACTGGATTGGGAAAGTGAGGTGATGCCTGGAGTGTGTCCAGCACAGAGCAGGCGTGCTAGAGATGTCAGTCTCTCTCACCCACTGAAACACCTATTGTCCGATTGATGTCTCTGGGACACAGGAGGTGCCCACAGCAGCCTCAAATGTTCAGAATAGGCCTGCTGGCCTCCTGCCCTCCTGGCCAGACCCTTCTCCCCACCCTGTGCCCTTTTCCCATGGAGAAAAATAACTCAGTTCATTTGTGTGAAAATCCGCATTGTTCAGAGCTCCTGGGGCCCTGGCAGACCCTAAGAGCAGGTGGTGTCCATGCCCAGTTCCCTCCCCTGGCTCTGGCCTCGGCCCTGAACTCTGCCAGGAAGGCACTCAGATCTCAGGTGGAGACTGCCGAGCTCTGAGGCCACAACAAAGAGCTCTCTGCAGAATGTGGGCCACAGAATGAAAGGCAGGCAGGCATCTTAACCATTCGGCAGGGCCTGGCAGGAAGATGCCGGTGACACCGTAGCCTGTGAGCCGCACTCAGGGACAGTGGGAAGTGGCCAGAGCAGATAGAGTGGAGCTTTGGCACCAGCCGAAGCCCTTGATGTGGTCCGTGCCCCACCAGCGTGAATTACCCTTGAGTGCCCCTGCCCCTGGGCTCAGCTTCCCAGCTCCCAGGACTGGCCTCATCTTCCCTGGGTCCCTGAGCACCTAGGTCATAGTAGAACATTCAATTTGTAGTTCAAGCTAAATAATACCAATTATTATTATCGTTACTGTAACTAGCAATCTTCATGGGTCAAGCCTTACTTGGCGGCCAGGTACTATCTGCAAGCTTTCATGGGAACGAGTCCTGCAGAATCCTGGGAGGTAAATACAGGTCCTCAGATAACATCATTTTATCATAATTGATAAGAAAAAAATAGCTTCCCATCCAGGGCCACTGTCTGTGTGCAGTTTGTGTGCTCTCCCTGTGGTGTTTGTGTGCTCACCCTGTGGAGTATGCATGCTCTCCCCATGTTGTTTGCATGTTCTCCCCGTGGAGTTTGCATGTTCTCCCCGTGGAGTTTGTGTGTTCTCCCCATGGAGTTTGCATGCTCATCCTGTGGAGTTTGCATGCTCTCCCCATGGAGTTTACGTATTCTCCCCGTGGAGTTTGCATGCTCACCCTGTGGGGTTTGTGTGTTCACCCCATGTGGGTTTTCTCCAGGTCCTCTGGTTTCCTCCCACATCCCAAAGCCATGCACGCTGGGTGAATTGGCAAGTCTCAGTGGTCCCAGAGTGGGTGAGTGCAGTTATGTGTGTGATCGGTGCCCTACCCGGGGTGGGTTCCCTCCCAGTGTCCTGAGCTGCCAGGAGAGGCTCTGGCCCCCTGCAGCCCTGAACTGGAATCGTTGGGTAAATCATTATCTTCCTTGTTTTTACTGATCTGTCTTAAATGTATATATAGCTCACATTTATTTCAGTGTTTAATATTTAGACGTTTTGGTGTCTTTATTCAGAAGTTTGGTGATGTTTTTGTTACTAGAAATACATTAGTGTGTAGGAGTTTAGCTCTTGTTTACATCCAAGGCTAATGCCTGTGGTAACATTGAGTTTGTTATACATCTTTTCACTAAAAGTTGTGAGATTTCCAAGAATCTATGAACCTGTCAATTTACTGTACTGTCGCAATCCTCTGTTTTAAATATGAGAAAACTAAGGCACAGAGAGGGCAAGTAACTTGCCCAAGGGCACCCAGCTACTGACCACAGAGCCAGGATTCAAACCTGTGTTTTCCACCATCCTGCTGTACCGAGTATTTGTATCAGCTGATCTGAGCGGCTGCCCCTTGCATTTTACCTGAATGTGTCCTCATACCCGTTCTGTGACCTCAGGCAAGTCGCTCTGCCTCAGCTCCGTCATTGGTACGATGGGGCCACAGCGCCCACCTCGTTAGGGAAACGGTGGGGCTCCAAGGGAAGGATGCCTGTAAAGGAGATGGCGCACAGCTCCTGGCACATCACGTGCAGTCAACAAATAGGATTGTTGAGGGGCCTCATGGTCCTTCGGGGCACTCACTCTTCCTTTTCTGAGTTGCCAAAAATACTCCCACTTTCTTTGCATTCCAGTCAGGCCAGGCTAAGGGAGGATGCTCTCTGGGCAAAGGACCAAGACACAGAGATGAGCCCTGGTGTTTATAAGCCTGGGCAGTAGCACACGTGTGTGTGTGTGTGTGTGTGTGTGTGTGTGTATTAGGAGGATGGGTTATAAGCCTGGGCAGTAGCACGTGAGAGTGTGTGTGTGTGTCTGTGTGTGTGTCTGTGTGTGTATATTAAGTAGGAGGATGGGTATACCTGACACAGAAGCATTGCTTGGGACGTGTGTGTGTATGTATGTATGTATGTATGTATGTATGTAGTAAGTAGGGGGATAGGTATGCCTGACACATAAGCATTGCTTGGGACGTGTGTGTGTGTGTGTGTGTGTGTGTGTGTGTGTGTGTATGTAGTAAGTAGGAGGACAGGTATGCCTGACACATAAGCATTGCTTGGGACACGTGTGTGTGTGTGTGTGTGTATGTGGGGGGGGGGGGGGTGTGTATGTAGTAAGTAGGAGGACAGGTATGCCTGACACATAAGCATTGCTTGGGACACGTGTGTGTGTGTGTGTGTATGTATGTAGTAAGTAGGAGGACAGGTATGCCTGACACATAAGCATTGCTTGGGATAGGATGTTTATATCTGGCCACAGATGCCACCTGTTCTCCCTTGTCTCCATGGCATAGCACAGAGCCTGGCACCTAATAGGAGCTTATTAGTGCCCAGGTGCCATGAGGAGAAGGAGGAGGACTCACTGCTCAAGCAGCAACCGTAATGTCCTGCCTTCCAAGTCAGTTACAGTAACTCATTATGCTCCACGCCCAGACTCGAGCTCTCTGCTTATCCAGGTTCCTTACTGGCAGACAAAAGAAACTTGTTGTAAACCCCCCAGCCCCTCCCCACCAAGCGGAAGCCTTCATTTTATCCATTGTCCCTGTATAATGGCAGGGCATTATATTTTTCCTTGCAAGTTGATGCTTGCAAAACACCTGTCAAATTGAACAGCGAAGGACAGGGCTTTGAAAGTCATTGTAAAAGTTGGCCTGAGTAGGCAAAGACCTTGACACCAGACAGAGATGCTTTCAAAAGGGAATAGCAAGACAGACGTTTTCCACCAAACTGCCCTCCCCATCTCCCCTGTCCTCTTCCTGCCCCTGCCCACTGCCCCGCACCTCCCTCCCTTCCTTGCTGGCCAAGAATCAGGTTTCTCATCTCCAGCGCAGCAGCCCCGTGGTAGGTGAAGTGCTATTCTTCACTGCCTTGCATGTGGGAGTTTGAAAAGAGAGAGCAAGGAGGGAAGAAAGAGGAAAGTCCGCCGCTGGCTGTGTCCTTTTCTTCCTGAGCGTGTTACAAACCAGCAGGGTCACGGCATCGAGAAGCTTTCAGGGCCGCGGCAGGCCACAGTACCTGCGAGCGCAGCCGAGAGAATATAATGGTATGGAAGAAATCCGTGCGCAGAACCCTGTGTTTTACAGCACTCACAGCCAGGGAGGCTGGGCAAACAGGCTTTTATTTGGCTGGGAGCGTGGCTCTGCTTCCCATGTTGTCTTATTCCAGCTGGGGAGGACTGATGGGCTGTGGTTAGCGTCTCTACCTTTCACCTCCAGAGCTGGGAGCGCAGACATGACCAGCATGGCGAGTGGCTGGCAGTGGGGCCTTCCCCCGCCTGCCCAAGCCAGGTTGGGCTGGGGCGGGAGATCTATGAGCAGAGTGCCCGGAGAAGTGCTCTTCCGGCACAGACGGGTGGCTGTCCCCATGGGTCGCCGGCCTCCAGCAAACAGTCACCCTCCCAGCCTCGCGAGGAGCAGGGAAGGAGCCTGCTTGCTAGAGCCCTGGTCCCGGCAGCCCCCACTGACCCCGGCCCCCACTGCCTCCCAGCCAGAGTGTCAAAGATGCAGCTTTTCCCCCACACCTCTCCTTTTCGTGATTCCCTTGTCATGCCCCTCCCCTGGTCCTCCTCGAGTACCACAGCCTGCCGTCAGGTGCTCACGTGTGCAATTAAGATCCTTCTCCGTGTGACACTTTATCCTTTGCGGGGGTACAAGGCCCTTTGACCAACCTGCCTGGGCCCCACATCTAACAGAGAGGAGGCACTCAGTGACCATTTGTGGGGTGAAAAAATGAACATACATAAGAACCTAATCATCAGAATGATGATTAGAATTTAATTGAGCATCTAACAGGTGCTGGACACTGTGTGAGCGTTAACTCAGTTCATCTTCACAGTCACCCCACAAGGAAGGAAGCCGGGCTCAGAAAAGCTGGCTAATGTGCTCCAAGCCCCACACTTAGCCAGGTGTGCGGTCGGCACTGGAGCCCTGTGTGGTCGAAGCCAGATATTCCTGACTGGGTGCTTCGAAGCACCGCTGGTCTGAAAAGGCAATCATGTAAGTTCTTATAAAGATCAAATCAGAGGGAAAGGAAAGAAAGAGGGCAAGAAAGCTTTGTCATGGACCTACCATGTGCAGAGAGTGATATCAGGTGGTTTTACGTAACTCAGTCTCATTTCAGGCTCACAGCTCCCTTAAGAACAGTGTTGCTTCCATTTTACTGAAGCACAAACCAAGACCCAGAGCAGTTAGTTCCCGGTCTGAAGGCATACCGGTCTGGACACTGCAGAACTGTAGTTAATGTCTATACCTGGGTGTTCCATCGTACCCTGTATCCTCAGCACCTCCTAAATCCCAAATTGCCCTCTCTTTATTGGATCTGGGCTCCTGATCCAGCTACAGCAGCAGTTGCAAACCACAGCCTACAATCTGTTTTTATAAATAAAGTTGTATTGGAACACAGGCATGCCCATTTGTTCATATATCGTCTAGGGCTACTTTCTTCCCCTGCAAGGACAAAGCTGAGCGGTTGTGACAGAGACCCTATGGCCCACCAAGCCTAAAGTATTTACTTTCTGGCTCTTCAAAGAAAGGCCTTGCAGCCCCTAGGGCTTCTGAAGTGGCTGCCCTTATTTTATCCAAAAGCCAGGGGTGGCTAGTTCCTCCCATGGTGACTCCCCACTTTCTCAGAGCATATAACTCTAGAGGCCTCATAACTGCACCCCCAGTGCCCTGCACCTGGAGTCCTGTGCTTAGATCTCCAGCTTCCCTGGATAGGAGGCCCCATTCATTCATTCATTCATTCATTCAACAGTTCTTCACTGATGACCTTATTAGCAAGCCGTGCTCTAGGCACTGAGGGCAAAGCAGTGTACAAAAGAGAAAGTCCTCCCTCATGGAGCTGATTTGAGTGAGGGAGACAGATGATTGCCCCCCTCCCCTGCCCTACCAAAAAAATAAATAAATAGCAACAAAGTTCTAATGATACCAAGTCCTGCGGTGGAAATTAGAAAGGGTAAAATATGGTTGATACAGTGGCTCACACCTGTAATCCCAGTGCTTTGAGACGCCGAGGCAGGAGGATCACTTGAGCCTAGGAGTTTGAGACCAGCCTGAGCCACATAGCGAGACCCCGTCTCTAAAAAAAAACTTTAAAAATTAGCCAGGCATGGTGGCACACACCTGTAGTCCCAGCTACTCGGGAGGCTGAGGTGGGAGGATCACTTGAGCCCAGGAGTTCGAGGCTGCAGCAAGCCATGATTACGCCACTGCACTCCAGCCTGGGCAACAGAGCAAGACCCTATCTCTTTTTAAAAACGAAAAGAAAAGAAAGGATAGCCTAATGAGCTCTTCAGGACCACCAGAGAGGGGAAGGAGCGATTCCAAATATGATGGTTGGAAAGTCTTTCTGCCAAGTCAGCATTTCTGTGTGATTCAAAGGGACCAACTAGCCAAGGATCTGGGGAGAACCATCCCAGGTAGCAGAAGCCATGGGTGCCAAGGTCCTGGGGTCAGAGTGTGTTCAAAGCAGGCAGAGAAGCCAGCAGGGTTTCCTCCTGGGGCCTTGTCTGGCCTGGCAGGAAGCCCAGCTTGTATTCAAGGTGCAGTGGGAAGCTCCCAGAAGATTTGAAGAGAAGAGTCTCAAGACCCAATTCACACTGTCAGACCTCATCCCCTGCATTGTAGAGGGGCAAGAATGGAGGGCAGAGGTCCCATCCAGGCCAATAAGGGCCATGGAGCAGAGGCTGTGGAGGTGGGGAAGCAGGTGGATTGAGCATTTTGGGTAAAGGTAGAGCCAGCCAGACTTGCTTCTGGAAGGCAGGAGAAAAATCAAAACTGGTGCATAGGTTTTTGCTCCAAGCCACTCACGGGATGGTGGTGCTGCATGGTGAGCAGAGGCCCAGGAAGCTGGGAAGGACAGGTGGCTGGGCGGGGGTGTTCTGAACGTGTTGAAGTTGAGACACCTATTAGGACTCCCCTCGATGTCAGGCAGATAGATCTATGAGTTGGGAGCTCAGGGGCGAAGTCTGGGCTGAGATATAAATTTGGAAGTCATCAGCAGACAGATGATATTTAAAGCCTGCAAGAGTTAACCCCCCCTCCCCACTTCCATAACTTAATCATTCACAGGACAGTACATTTTCAAAAGACTGGAGACCAAGAGAGCCCGTTATCCCCACGTCAGCCTTTGCGAATAGGCCACCTTGATCTTGCCCATGAAAACATAATCATCGGGCTTTAAAACTCACAGTCAGGAAAGTTCAAGCAAAGATGTGAAGCCACAGAATTTGTTATTCAAAATATCCTTTGGTCGTGGTTCCTTCCATCCACCTGGAGACAGAGGTTTTCTGTAAGCTTCCCATTTTCATTCCTTCACCTGGGTCCTTCTTGCTTTCTCCTGAAGACTTGACTGTAGCAGCCCTTCCTCCAGAGGTGTTGAAGGCCTCAGCAGGAGGCGGGCAAAGAGGGAAACTGTCCCGGATTGCCATAGCGGGTCCTGACAGGAAAGGCCGAGACTGGGTGGGGTGTGGGAATATGTGGGTGATTTATCCCTGACCTCTTTGAAATGATCACTTTACAGCCAAAAGTGGCGGCTCATGCCTGTAATCCCAGCACTTTGGGAGGCCAAGGTGGGTGGATCACTTGAGCCCAGGAGTTCGAGAGCAGCCTGGCCAACACAGCGAAGCCCTGTCTCTTCTAAAAATACAAAAATTAGCCAGGTGTGGTGGCGTGCGCCCGTAATCCTAGCTACTCAGGAGGCTGAGGCAGGAGAATCACTTGAACCAGGGAGACAGAAGTTGCAGTGAGCCGAGATCACACCACTGCACTCCAGCCTGGGCAACAGAGTGAGACTTAGTCTAAAAAAAAAAAAAGAAAAAAGAAATGATAACTTTTTGTGTTCAGGGTAGTGTGTTTTAACCTATCTCCAGCTCCTGGTCATGTTGGGAAGTGGTTCCAGGAGAGGTTGAGGTTGCCTGGGAAACCCACTCTTTCTCACACCCCTGGCTATCTCAGCTGCTGGAGGCTGAATCCAGAGGAGAAAAATCAAGGAGAGGGAATTCTTTCGGTCAAGGCAGTTCCCAAGTGTGCGCCCAAGTGGTGCACATGGCTGGCCATGCAGGGAGCCATGATCAGAGAGCAAGATCCTTCTCCCTGCAGCAGTGCAGGGAGGCTGGGGGTCCTGGAGGCCAGCTGGAGCAGGTATCGCCCAGTCACCCCCTCCTACTTCCTTCCACTCCCCACGCCTGAGCCTCGCTGGGCGGTGTTTTGGAAATAATTCCAAGTGCTTCGGCAATATCCCGCACACTCTCTTCCCCTTCCCCCGGGAGCGGCTGTCCGTGTGGGGAAGGTACTTGCTCCCAATCCAGCTAAATTGTTATTGACTTGTGTTCTCTGTGTTCCGCAAACATTTCACTCAGCCGTCGCCAGCAAGGCCAGGAATCCCTGCTAGGGCTAACGGGGAAGCCAGCTGTGCCGGGCCATTTCTCGTGCTCTTCCTCATCGATCACGGAATTAAACTGACAGAAGGAGAATTTCAGAGCGACTTGGGAGGGGCAGGGGCTGGGCCGGGATTGGACGAGGGTTTGGGGACTTGGGGACCACAGTGCTAGAAACAGGGACAGGAGGAAGGGTGGGTTTCCCTCCAGGGTTGTAGCTGGTGGTAGGGGGTGGCCAGTTTTATTTCTGAACTGTAGGCTGGCCCAGCCTGGAGAAACCCAAGGAAAACACACAGACAAGGTTTTTATTACTGCTTCATGACCACAAATGAAAGTAGTGGGGTTTTGTAGACAGAGAGGAGAGAGAGAAAAGAGCAGAGACCACACTGGCAAGTTGTCGGCTGAAATTAGATCTTTATTTTGCCTACCAGTTATGAAAACAATGGTTTTGAATGAATCATCACTATTTTCCTACTGGAAGATTTGACCTGAAAATCAAGATTCTGACCTCTTCTGAAAAATCAGATTTGGCCAGCCTGGTTCCACATTCCCACAGGGCACCAGGCCCAAGGAATGGCTGCACGTTTATACGAAGGCTGGGCTTCCCCTTACGCACAATGCATAGCCCTCCCTGTAGTCTCCCCCGACCCCCTGGACTGTTTGATGCCATCATATTCCTATCTGGACCCTCGAGCCTTTGCACTTACACAGCCTGGTACAGACACCACTATACCTTGGCCCTATGAGATGTTACCAGCTGCTCCCTTTCAGCCTCTGCTTTCCAACCCAGGGCCTATGCCAAAAGAAAAGAGATCAGTAACTAATGTGGACCAAACCCTAAGACTTGGGGGATTCCTCCAGACCTGAGGCAGAGGAGTAGGGGATGCCTTCCCACCTTTCCTGGTTCTTTTTCCCTTTTCCCTCTGCAGTGAGTCACCCTCACCGGGACACTCCCCTTGCTTCCCAGCCGCACAGGTCTGCCAGTATCTGTAACTAATACAAACATGTGGGACCAAGTCTAGAAGCCCCCAGGCATAGCCCACCCCCCCCCCCCCCGCCCCGCAGCCCTAGCTCAGGGTAACTCCATGGGTATCAGGGCTGCAGCACCTTCACCAGCCCCTGTGTATGGGGTTGTGCGTGGCCAGTCATAGAATTCTGCACACACACAAGACACCCAGAGCACAGAGGGAAGTTACTCCACCCACCGACCCACTCTCCAGCCACTCAGGGAGCCCAGGTCCTCAGCACCAAGATTAATAACATCAGTCATCATAGCAGTCATCATATCCCGTGCTCACCCCAGGCCATTTGCATCAGAACCTCTGGAGGTAGGATCCAGGCATCAGTGGGTTCCTAGCTGATGCTACCAGACAGCTGGATTGAGAACCAATGGCCTTTGAAAAGGAAATTGCTGCTACATAGCCTGGGTCTGTTCATGCTTTTCCTGTTGAGACCCCCATCCTAGGGAGGCTGGGCTAGTGTCCCCCTCTGCGGGGCAGGCTTTGCTATGCTGTGCCAGTAAGGCTGGAGCCAACCCTATCTGAGCTCAAGGTCCTGCTTGGAAAGTGTGACCACTTGACTCTTCAGAGTCCTAGTGCGGCTGCTTCCTCATCTGAAAAGTGGGACAATGATGTTGCCTAGCTGGTGGAATTTCTGTAGGAAAGTCCAGAGCCAGCCTGCTGCTTAGAGCCAGCAGGCGCCTGAGGAGTGGTCCCTGCAGCTCGCCCCTTGGCCTTATCTTGGGCAGCTGGATTTCCCCTTTGCTGGGCACTGCCTGTCCTCTGGGGTGGCCTCACAGGACCCTTTGATTGTTAGCTTTCATGTTTGCCTGGCACCTCAACGGGCCGGGCCCTGGGCTAAGTGCTCTCATGCTTTATCTCATCAAATCCCCTGTGGTGGGTGCTACTACTGTGTCCTGTCTGCAGAAGAGTAACTTTGGTAACTCAGAGAAGGCTGGGACCACCAAGTGGCAGCACTCAGGTCCCACCTCGTCCTGTCCACCCTGAGCCCCAGTGTGGCCCCCATGGCTGGTGGTTTAGTTTATCCTGTGGAGTTTTGTTCACTGCCATATCCCCAGCATCATTCCTGGCACATAGAATATGCTGGGTCATGCTTGCTAAGAGTGACTGAAGGCAGGAATCCTTACGGTCCCCATGAGATAAGCAGAGCAGGCACCGTCCCCGTTTAACAGGTGGGAACACTGAGGTAAGGAGCTTAGCAGCTCCTGGGAGTCCCACAGTGGCAGAGGCCAGTCTGCGGCCCAGGCTCCTGCCCACCCGCTCTGCACAAGGACCCTCTCAGATCATACCTAGTTCTTAGAAGGACTCGCTGTGTTTTAAAAAGGCACAACTGGCTGGACGTAGTGGCTCATGCCTATAATCCCAGCACGTTAGGAGGCCAAGGCGGGTGGATCACTTGAGCTCATGTCCAACATGGTGAAATCTCATTTCTACTAAAAATACAAAAATTAGTTGGGCCTGGTGGTGTACGCCTGTAATCCCAGCTACTTGGGAGGCTGAGGCACAAGAATCACTCAAACCCGGAAAGCAGAGGTTGCAGTGAGCCGAGATCGCTCCACTGCACTCACCTGGGTGACAGTGTGATTCTGTCTATTTAAAAAAAAAAAAAGGCACAGCCCTAAAACAGCCTCCTGTATCAATAAAGGGACATTGGCTTGGTCTTAGGAGCCAGGCCAGTCTCCTGAAGAGTACCCTTTATTCTGTGCGTACCTGATGTGTGCCTGCTGTACACAGAGCCCTGAGATGCAGACCTATCTGGGTAGGAGAGCTCTGCCCGTGGGGGCTGCAAGATATGAAGCCAGGGAGGACAGGGAGAGACCCATGCAGAGGCACCAGCAGCTGAGGGTGGGGGTCTGGTTCAGCCAGCCTTCCAGAGCAGGCAGCCTCCCAAGCCAGGCCAGCCCCCGGGTGCCCAGCCCCCCTGCGGTACCCACATCATGGCACCCTCATACTCCCCAAGGGTGGGAGCTACAGGTGGCTGGTGTCCCCCAGCAGCCTAGGACTGCACACCACTGAGTCTGAAGATTGTGGAGCCTCATTCTGGCCTCCACACTCTGCCCCAACCTCCTTCCTCCCCTCGCCCACCTGTGCCCCCGCCCCCTGCCCTTCACCCCGGCCTCTTGGAATCAGTTCTGTCTCCGACTTAGCGGAGTTTGTGGAAGCCTTGCCTATCCTGTGTCTCGGGAAGTAGCAACTCAGGAGCCTCCAGGAACAGGAAGAAAAGCCCCCATAAGTGAGGCTGCGTGTCTCCAGGGGCAGCTAGTGCACAGCCTCATCAGTTACCTGTAGGCAGGGAGGGGACAGGTCTGCCACACTCACAGGTTAGCCATTCCAGGTTCAAGAGAAACGAGAGGTGCAGATTCTTATGTAGCATCTCCCTGTTTTTGAACATTAGTCACTGATTTCTGTATTCATGGCAAATCATGTCAGCAAATCCAGACACTCTTCTGTGGGCCCACAGTGGGAGGCCCTGCTCCATCCCATTGGTCACTTTTTTTTTTTTTTTTTTTTTTGAGACAGAGTCGAGAGCTGCTGTTGCTATCATCGTGTTATAGAGGAGGGGAGCAGCCCACCCTCGTGCTCTCAGTAACAGATTCCATCAACAGCAGTAAGAATGACCAACCTATATTGACAGCTTGCCGTGTGCTAGGCACTATTGTGAGGGCCTTACATACATATATTCATTCTTTTAATACCCTCACACACCCTAGGCGTGTAGATTTCATCACCATTCAGTAACTGCAGAAACTGAGAGGAGCCCAGAGAGGTGAAGCAACTTACCCAAGGTTGCCCAGCCAGGAGCAGCAGGGTTTGATCCTGGCAGCTCACCCACCCAGCACCCTGCATCTAGCACCCTCCACCCTGTACCTCAGGCCTCTCCACTCAGAATCCAGCCCTGGGCTTCCTGGCCCAGTGCTTTTCCCCTCCCCGGACTGTTCACGCCTGCCTCATCCCAGGGTTCCTTTCAGAACTCCCTTCTCCCCTTATCAGCCACGCTCTTCTCCCCCGGCTTGCCTTTCCTCAACGTCTGCTTCCAGAACAAAACCCCAAGAAGCGCTTTCTCTTGTCCTCCCGACGCACCCCCCCGCCCCCCCGCCCTTTCTCCCTGCCTGCGCCTTTCTCCCTGCCTGCCTGCGCCTCCCATGCAGGGCCGACAGCGCCAGCCAGGGAAGGGAGAGACACAGGCTGGCATTCTGTCAAGGAATTAATTGAAAAATAAAATCATTAGGTGGGAACTCCAGAAATGCAAAAATGGTGGTTGGAGGTTGGTGGGGAGGGGGGCAGGACTGGGGGGTTGTCGGGGGATGGCTGAGCTTTTTGTCAAGTTAATTTCTCGGGTATTGATGTTTGGTGACATTCACTTGTTGTTTATCTTCGGGTGCAGCTGTAATACTGAAAGAAAATGCACAGCTTGTTTCGTTTATTTATTTTACACCTTTCTCCGGTTCTGCATTATGTTTGTTTGGTGAAAACCCACTGAGGCTTTTGATGTCGGGGAAGTGGGATTTCAGCAGCTGTTCGCTGCAAACAGGGTGCTCCTCAAGGAAGCAGGGCCAGCGGGAGGTGCGGGGTGTCATTCGGTGGGAACTCGGGGCCTGACATGTCCTCCAGGGGGCAGTTGGGGGCCCAGCCTGAACCCTGGCAGATATGCCAGGCCCAGGAGCACGGAGGCTGGCTTATGATACATGAGTACATAGTTGGCAGGTAAAGGAATGAGATGTTTTGGTTCATCAAGGCCACAAAGCCAGGCTCCGCGTAAGAGCCCCCGCCCCATGAGTGCTCACTGCCCCAAAGACCAAGAGAGACACGAAGTCAACACCTTTCCTATCAATAATAGTAACACAGGTGTTGGTCTCAGCACCATCGACTGAGCCAGGGGCTGGGCATTGCCCTTTTTACTCATTTCAGCCTCACCACAACCCCTAGTATTTCCATTTTACAGGTTAGAAATTGAGGCACAACTATCTGGTTCTTTCTCCATCTCCCCCTGCCAGACCAGAAAGCCTTAGGTGGGGCCAAGCCAGGCTTGTTCCCCACCATGCCCGACCCAGAGCAGGTGCTGCAGGTGTCTCCGTCATGTGAGGGGATGAGAGCATGGATGAAGGCTCTGAACAACTGCTCTTGGCCTCGTCTCAGCTGCTGTTTGTCCTTCAGCAACCTACACTACTTGACCCTCAATTTTCCCTGTCATTCACTCCCTCAGTCGCTCAGCACACATTTATTGAGCATCTACTATGTGCCAGGCACAGTTCTGGGCATTGGGAATGGAACAGTGGACAAAACAGGCAGAAACCCCTGCCCTCCTAGAGCAGATGTTCCAGCCAGGAAGACAGATAATAAAGTGGAAACATGACACACAGTGAGACCGGGAGACATGCTGTGGGGGAAGTGGACAGGAAAGGGATTAGGAAGTGTACATCAGGGCACTCTGGAGGACTTGGAATTTTAAATAAGGAGGGAAGCTTCACTGAAAAGGTAAGGCCCCTGAGTGGCTCCGTGGAGGAAGAGCATTCCAGACCAAAGGAACAGCAGGTGCAAGGCCCTGAGGTGGGAGTGCTGGAAGCCAGGAGCCAGCAAGGGGCCCGAGTGCCTGAGCAGAGTGGGAGGGAAGCAGAGAGGTGGCAGGGCCTGCTCAGTAGCCCTGGCAGCCGACGTGACAGCTTTAGCTTTTCCCCAGGTGAGATGGTGCCCCTGGAGGCTTGAGCAAAGGAACAGCATGCCGTGATGGAGGATTTAACAAGCTCCCTCTGGCTGCCGTTTGAGACCAGACTCCTGGGAGGAGGGCAGAGGAAGCCAGAGGCAATGGTGGCACGGCCCAGGGGTGCAGGAGCATGGGGAAGAAGCACCCCAAGTCCAGCTCTATCTTACAGGTTGAGCCGACACAATGGATGGGGCTAGAACTCGCCCCTCGCCAGTCCCTCCAAGTTGTCAGGATGTGGGAGAGAAGAAAAAGTCCCATGCCGCCACCGCTGGCCATCCCTTAGACCCCAGGCCAGGCCTGGCCCAGGAAGGCAGGGACCCTGCCCCAGGAGTGAGCTGCCATCCCCAACTCATATTAGCAGATGGGAGGGGCGTCAGTGATCGCCTGTGGGCCCTGTTTTGTTGCGTTCTATTTTCCAGTTCCTATTACCTGCCCACAAATTCAATTTCCAGAGGCCATTGTGCACCTCCAGGGCTGGCGATTATAAGGAAACCAAGAGTGTCTAGGAGGTCACAAGGAAGGAGAGGAAGCCGGAGTCCGAGCCCCGGGCCGCCAGCCCCCACCACCCCAGCCCACCCTGTCCCCCTCTCCCTTTTCATGATTAACAATGATGGGTAGAGCTGCAAGGCCTTGAGGCTCTCAGGTGGCAGGCAGGTGGGCACCTCCCGCACCTTCTGCACGCTCACCATGGGGCAGGCTCTGCCGTCTCTCTCTCACCCTTGCTCCGTCCGCTCATTCCCCTTTCTGGGATATTTCACAAGCACTTGCTAGGCACCAGGCAGTGTGCTAAGGCCAGGGACACAGCAGTGAGTGAGACAACATCCCACACAAAGAAAGGCCTGCGGCAGTGTGGGTAATAAAAAGTGCCAGGGGGTGGGGTGGCATTGGAGCTCAGAGGTAGAGGGAGAGGGAGATCTGGGTGCTGCCGGTGCAAAGGTCTTGAGCAGGGGGAGGTGGGCCAGCTCCAGTGATGCCTCCAGAGGAACTTGGGGCTTTCTTAGGGAGTGGTGGATCTGACGCACATGTTTTAGAGGGATCCCTTGGTGGGAGGGGGGTCTCTAGTGAGGGGCTGAGAGGTACTTGGATTGGGGTGCAGCCGTGGAGATGATGAGAAACGGGTTCAATGTTTGAATTGATTTGGGAGGGACGAGATTGAAGAAACAGGCTCAGAGAGGTGAAATCGCTCACCCAGGAACACGCAGAGGGAAACCAAGTCTTCATCTCTGGGCCAGGCACTGTGCTAGCCCTGGGGAGGTCTCAGTAGAAAAGGCTAGGCCGCTGCTGTGAGCTCCAGGGAGCTCACAGCCTGCGGATAAATGGAGGTAAAGGGCCTCAGGGTGGTTTATTTGGGGAGGTGTTTGAGCCATGGAAAGGGAGGGGATTTGGACAGCCTCTTTACACTGCCTCTGTACAAATCAAGCCTTATCTGTGAGCAAGGCTGCTCATCGACAAGTGGTTAGACTAGCAGAGGGACTGACAGAGGAAGCCAGCCTGGATTCCAACCTCGCTCTTTTCCTGGAGGGCCAAGGGGCCCCACACGTCCTCTCCTGCCACCATTGATCCCCTTGGAGTTCTCTGCCTAGAACCCGAGACTTTCATAAAAAGCAGAAAGACTGTGGGCTTAGGTGTGACTGGGGTTCGAATCCTGGCTCCACCGCTTCTTAGCTGAGTGACTTCAGACCTGCCTGTCCGTGCCTCAGTTCCGTCTCCTACAAGAGGCAGCATACCACCTGCCTGTGGGGTTGCTGACAGGAGTGGAGCCATGGTTCATGATGGTACCTAATCAGGAGGTGCTTGTGGGGCTAAGCCCACCATGCCCTTTCCTACCTCCGTGCTTTTCTTCATGACCCTGAATCCCCTCTCCTCACAGAAAACTCCTCTGCATTCTTCAAAGCCCAAGTCAAATAGTCCTCCTCTTCAAAGCCACCTCTAATTGTCATTCCCTCCACGCCTCCTCTGGAATCCTTGAGCTTTGCATCTGTTCTATTCACCCACCACTTATCGAGCACCTGTTGTATGCCAGCCATGTACTGCACCATTAGCCTGGCCTCCAAGAAAACAGAAACAACTTCTACTTGTCTCCCCAGCCGTTGTCCACTGCTTGGTCCAGCCTCTCTGAAGGGTTTCAGCTTCCTCCAAGCCAAGC